>NC_000004.12:113618350-113769865 GCF_000001405.40 Homo sapiens | reverse complement strand
TTTCAGTGGTATTGTCATAACTTTCAGAACCTTTAAAAATCTGTTTTCCTCATTGAATGGAAATCATGTGTGGGGGAAGTGGGGGAAGAAGGCGGGGAAAATAGGAACAAGAATGTAGTGTTTTTTTTTTTAATTATTTAACTATAAAGATACTTGTTCTGGTTGGAGTTGGGCCATTCTACAACACAGCTAACTCTCAATTACCACACTCATGGACACAGGCACAATAGACAAAAATAAAATATGGCCTTAATGCAAATCACATATTTTCATTTAATCGTAATTTTATTCTTAAGGTTTAAATTACAATAAATATTTGTATAGCGCTTTTGATTTTAAAAATTTGTTTCCATACTTTGTTTTAGATAGGGGAGGATAAATTACAGAAACAAATAGAATCCTCAAAATTCGGTTCCTTAAAGAACAGGAAGTTTATTTCTTTGGTCAGGGCAAGGGTTCCATATTAGCAGCAGCTCTGTTGTATGAAGTCTTTCAGGGCCCCAGGCTGACAGTGGTTCTGCAATCTTCAATATGATACTTATAAGATTGCCCTAGGAATTGCCATCCCAGTCGTTCAGAGACTGAAGAACATTAGAGAACATTCCAGAACATGAACCAGGTCTGGAAGCGGCATATATCACTTTTGCTCCATTTCTTTGCCAAAAAATTAATCTCAAAACAGGAAAATCTGGTATTCTAGCTATGTATTCAGCCCAAACCTTGTTTGTGTAGTAAGATGGAACAGACCTTGGTGGTTAGGTTTAGCCACATGTGTTAAGTCATTAGGCAAACAGATTTTTAAAACTTCTTTCTGCTTTTTGAAGGAATGAATCAACAAGTCTAAGCCAACTCTAGGAAACAAAAAAGCAGGAGAATAAGAAATAACAGGGCCCTTGACTATGTAGGAAATGAATAAGTAGCACCTGAATAATAATAAATTAGCACTGGTCGAGGTGGCTCACGCCTGTAATCCCAGCACTTTGGGAGGCTCGAGGCTGGCGAATCACCTGATGTCAGGAGTTCAAGACCAGCCTGGCCAACGTGGTGAAACCCCATCTCTACTAAAAATACAAAATGTAGCCGAGGGTAGTGGTGGGCGCCTGTAATCCCAGCTACTCGGGAGGCTGAGGCAGAAGAATCGCTTGAACCTGGGACTTGGAGGTTGTAGTGAGCCAAGATCGTGCCATTGCACTCCAGGAGAGAGTGAGACTCCATCTCAATAATAATAATAATAATAAATTGGCTGGACATCTCATTACGTAAATGAGACAGAGTACTATAATTCTGTAGGTTTGGTGATAATAGATTAAAAATATATTCTAAAGTCTATTTTGATTATAGTTTGTATTAGCTACCCGCTACATAGCATGTAGTGAATCCTTGGTATTGGCCCCTACATGATGAAAAAATAATTTTCGACTTTTGACCAAGGTAATTTAAAGGCTAAGCCATTGGCTTTTAGGAAAAGTTAACTTTTAAACACCAAGATTGTTGAGATAAATGCTACCCTCCTCTAAAGCTACATGAATCAAGAGAAGAGTACTGTTAAAGGAATTGACAAAGTGATAAACTGAACGTAATGAAGAGTAATGAAATAATCCAATGTAAATGAATATATGATTTTTTTTAAAGGTCTTTCAGGCCAGGCACAGTAGCTCACGCCTGTAATCCGTGCACTTTGGGAGGCCAAAGATTGCCTGAGCTCAGGAGTTTGAGACCGGCCTGGGCAACATGGTGAAAGCCTGTCTCTACTGAAATACAAAAAGTTGGACATAGTGGTGCATGCCTGTAGTTCCAGCTACTCAGGAGACTGAGGCACGAGAATTGCTTGAATCCAGGAGGTGGAGGTTGCAGTGAGCTGAGATCGCACCACTGCACTCCAGCGCCTAGGAAGCAGAGTGAGACCCCGTCTCCAAAAAAAAAAAAAAAAAAAAAGGTCTTTCAAACAAGTGGGAAAGGATAAAGATGGACAGATGGACTATTCAGTTAATGCATTGGCAAAACTAGCTATCCATTTGAGGGGAAAAGAAAATGAAAGTAGATACCTGCCTGCCTCAAACCATTCAAAAATTTTCAGACAGGTTAAAATACTAATCATAGTAAGTATAACAATATTGGAGGATCATGTAAGGCTTTTTAAACCTTGATAGATTTTGGTCTTTATTTCAAGATCACTGGAGGCATACCTGAAACATTTTAGCAAAGGAATGATGGGATCAAATTTATTTTCAAAAGATGTTTCTCTCAGCTGTGTGTAGGAGAGGGAAGAAAGCACAATTATTAATGCAGTTAAGAGGTTGTTTCCGCAAACTGGTTAGAGAAGACAATAGTTTGATCTAGAATGCTGGTAATGAGAAATGCAAGATAATTCTAGAAATGTTTAGGAGTTAGGGTATGTGTGGGTACAAGGAATGAGTATGAAACTAAGCAGTGAGTAGTTTGAAATGCCTGGTAGGGTGTACTAAAGACTTTTTGAACTTTTTTCCTAAAGATATATGGGGAGCTAATAATGATATCTATACTGAGAAGAGACATGATAGATTTGTTTAGTATGAATTCCTCTGAATCCAAGTGAGAAACGATGGTGGCCTAAACTAAGGCATTTGCAGTAGGAATGTTATGATGTATATGGACTTGTGATTGATTGTGGGATGACCCTGAAATTTCACTGAGATATGGAGGAGGTGCAGATGTAGAAGGAAGACATATTAATTTTAGACATGTTGAGTCAGAGGTGCAATGTCCAGGAGGAAGTTTCCTGTAGGGAGCGGGCAATATGAGTCTGAAGCTCAGAAAAAGACCTTTGCTACAGACAGAGATTGCAGGGTCATTAGCACTTTAGTATCCAGCTGATTCTGTTGGTGCTTCCACTCTCCGTTCTCTGGAATCCCAGTTCTGTGCCCATGCCCTAGTTCTGTGTGCATACCCCACTTCTGCAGTCTTTTCTTGTAATAGCCTCTACCTGTGACTTTTTCCTCAGTGGCATACTCTGGAGCCACTGGAGCTGTTCAACCCGCCAGGAAGGACGGCCAGACCCTGACCCCAAGGGAGTTTATGTCCGTTTGTTTCCCTCTTCCATTGCTAGTGATCAATGAATGACTGGTGAAGAAATAGGAAAGCCCTTGCTTTGAGGGTAACAAAACTGGGTATAACATATACTCCAGAGCTCCCTGAAAATAAGGCTGATGCTGGGACTTTACTTGAAGGCACATGCTGCTTTTTGTTTTTGCATTGTTTTTGTCCCATGTTCTCCAATTCTCTACTGACAAAGAGTCTCTCCTTCACCAAATTTTAGTTAGGCTTCTCTCAATCCTCTTTCCTACCCTCGACGTTTGAATTTCCATGTCAAATGTTTGCATCAGCCCAATTTTATTAAGAATCCTGCTAAGTTTGTTTATCCAGAATCTTCCAGCCTGCCTTCAGTAAGAATCTTGTTAGGTAGGTTTAGCCAGACTATCCCCTTACCTCAGAAGTTTCCTTTTAGTAATTTTCCATTCATCTACCTTCCTCCACTCCCACTCCTTAGATATAAATTCCCACTTTTCCTTTTTTTTTTTTTTTGCATTTGAAGTTCAGCCCAATCTCTTTCCCCTACTGCAAAACCCCCTTGCAGTGGTAACTATACCTACTGTGATAGTCTGAATAAAATCTGTCTTACTATACTTCAGCAAGTATCATTGAATGAGATTTTTTTCTTTAACATTATCCTTGTCCCTGGAAATACTACCTCAATAAATCCCTTTTCCATACATTCTTGTCTTAGGGTCTACATCTGGAGAGTCAAATTTAAGACATATGATAATTAACACAGTGATAGCTATGAAGGCAGCCTAGGAAAGCTGTGTAAAATGAGAAAAAAAGGCAACCTAAGATGGAATCCTAGGTTGAAAGCACTATCACTTACCACAGAGGCAGAGAAAAAAGAGACCAGGAATGATACTGAAGAAAAGAGGCAGAAATGTTGTGGAATGGGTGAGGTATTGTGAATAGAAAGTGTGGTATCAGACATGAAAACCAACAGAGAGAATTTCAGGTCAAGAGTATGAAATTATACAGAGAAGTCAAGTTACTTCAGGATTACAAAGAATCAACTAAATATTGCAACAAAGGGGCCTCATTATACCCTATTAAAGATTGGGCATTTTTAATATTTGGAAAGTCAAGACTGTTAATACCATAATATTGTTTTTTTTTTTTTTTAAAAAAAAGGTATTTTTGAGCACCTGTTGTGGCAAAAACCCTGTGCTAGTGATACAGTGGGGGGACTGAATGACAGTCCCTGCCAGGAAGGGTCTGACAGTCTAATTACAGTCCAGTGTAATAAGTGTTTGCAAAGTTGAAAGTCAATGAAAATCATTAGAGGTACACAGAAGAGTCAAAATCTGTTATTTTCTTTATTAATGACTCTATAACCTTTTATACAATTATTGTGTATTATACATCTTATTTAATGTACCTTCCTACTGCAATTCTTTTAGCAGAGTGTCAGGGAAACATGTATGTTCATGGAGGGTCAAGCATGCTGACCAATGTACTTGCAAGTAATGCAAAAGAGACATTTCTTCATTGTATGGATATCACTTGTTTTCTTATTTATTTGCACATTTATTTTTATTTTTAGGAAAAAGATTCTTTCAGCACATGATGAAACAAAGAAAATATCTTCTGTTGTTAGCTTTGCTTTTATGAATAGTTTGTTTTTTAACTGCAAATTCATCTTGCACTAATGGATGGTCTGGTAAACAGATTATCTGCTCATCAGTAGACTGTCTGGCTCTATATGGTTTAGTTATCATAGTTTGGAAAGGCAGCAACTTGCTGTTACTTTTTTCCCCTAGCCTCCAAATCTGCAGTGAAGAGTGGCTTCAACACAGCACCTGCTAAAATTTTCACAGGAATCTGCTATTTACTGATGGACTCTGCACTTTGGGGAGCTATAGAGATAACATTATCTCTTCGCTGTTTCTTATCTTATAACTTTGTAGCAGAGGAAATCAATGAATGTTAGTATCTGTTAATATCTGCCTTTGTTAATGTAAGCATTAGAAACTTGTACTTTCTGGGTGAAACTACTGAAGTCTTGGATTTTTTTAAATTCCAAGTTGCCAAAGAGGAAAGAGGGAGAATACTTAGTCATTTTATATCCACAGCCCTCTACCCTGCTCCTTGCTTGTAAATCCCCACTTGGCCTTTTAAGAGTTGAAATAGAGTCCAATCTCTCTCTCCTCCTGCAAGACCTGGTTGCAGTGGTTCTGATCACCATGGACCCCCTTGAATAAAGCCTGCCTTATTATCTTCAACAACTTTAATGACTAACTTTTTATTCACTAACTCTCCCTCTTAACTTTCTCTACCATGTTCATCAGACATGCAGTTAGTAAGGCATGTATAATGAAATGTAAATACATTTGGCACTAACATCCAGTGTTATTATGTTTATAGGTCTACATTTCTACACTTTTTAGAATTTATCTCTATTTTGTAGCTATTCCTGAAATGATGTTGAAGTAGAACAACAACAACAAAGTCTTTGATCTGACTATTTTTTTTTTTTCAGACAGAGTTTTGCTCTTGTTGCCCAGGCTGGAGTGCAGTGGCGCGAATTCGGGTCACTGCAACCTCCCTCCTTCTCCCAGGTTCAAGCGATTCTCCTGCCTCACCCTCCAAAGTGGCTGGGATTACAAGCATATGCCACCATGCCCGACTAATCTTGTATTTTTATTAGAGACGGGGTTTTGCCATGTTGGCCAGGATGGTTTCGAACCCCTGACCTCAGATGATCCACCCGCCTCGGCCTCCCAAAGTGCTGAGATTACAGGCGTGAGCCACTGCGCCCGGCTAATCTGACTACTTTTTAAGGAGGTTCAAACTTCAGAAATAACTGTAAATATTTGTTCAAATAAGAGAAATATTTAGTCTAAAATATAAATCAAAGAAAGGGTACGTACAGATTAAGCAGTGTTTGCTGTAAAAAATGTACACATTTATTGTCTAATAATACATCAGTATTAAAACTCAGTTATGTTTCCTTTATTGTACTCCACAATTATAACCATTTACAATTATTGGTAGTTTAAATAACTGAGATAAATACTGTAATTATGTAGACTTCATTACTTGAATATTTAAGAAACAATTTTCTTCCCAGATGTAAATTTTTATATTACCTTTATTGTTTTAATTTTACTTTTTCTGTTTCATTCTTAGATTCAGGGAAAAATATTAAATTATTTCATTATCACCTTGGAGCCACATTGCTAAATAGTTCAGATATTACAAATCTTTAGCCAAGACCAAATTGTGTTTTTTTTTTCAATTTATAGCCCAATTATTAATATTTAGAGACCATGTTTCTTTTATGCAGTTCTTGGTATCATCTTTTTCTATAGCACTACATTTTACACAGTTATTTCTTGCCTTTTACGGCTGGGAATCAAAACACATACGAACTTCAATTTTGTTGTAATAAACGTTAAAATTTGTGAACATTTTTAGTACTTCAGTAAAAAGCTCACTCATTGGCAGAAGCGTTCCCCAGATCAGGAAAAAAGGAATTAGGATTATCTATGACCACAAAGTAACATTAATTAATAGCAGTCTTTGGGAGCAAGCAGCAGCGCCTTTAAATCTTAGATTCTCTTGTGTCTGCAAATTATCTTTTATCTTTCAGCTGTGAAATTTTGTCTATGAAGTAATACCACGAGCAAATTAGCAATAGGATTGCAAGGTTTTTATAGTCCCGTGCTGTAGAACAATTGGCAGTAATTTGAAAAAGACCGTCCATAACGCTGTTTTTGGTCTGCGGCTAAATTTGCAATTGCATAGTTTCATTAAGGAGAACTGGAAAGAGGGCCCAGAAGTTGTTCTAGCAATCGGCAGCAGTTTATCTATTTTAAATCGTAATGCATACTTTTTTTTTCCTCCTACTGAAAACAATGGCAGATATGCTAAAGGGAAGGACACATTCTTGAACTGCTAAATGGTTTTTCCAGATAGCCATTTACGGAGTGCACTCAATTGCCACTATCTGGCTGAAAGCAAAAGCACACACGACGGCCCCTTTTCTTTTTTCCCTTTGCAAAGCGAAACAGTCTAGACGTGTTCACGTGATGTGAATGACGTCAGCCCCCGCCGGGTCGCGTGACCGACACCCAGCCTTCCTACTACCTCCCCCTGACCGCCAGAGTGGGAAATATCGCGAGAATTCGCCTTACTATCAGAACTTACTGAGGTTGCAGGGGAGTTACTCAGAAGGGAAGGGAAGGTGTGGTTGTGCGGCGGAGTTTTTGCTTTCATTCTTTTAACGTTCACAGCCAAAGCAAAGGCCTTTGGGGATTGCCAGAGTCTCAGCCACCATCCTGGAAAACAGCGGGGGAGGTGGGCCTGGAGGTGGCAAGTGTAATGTGGCTCAGGGGCCGTCATTGCCCCTTGCAGAAGGGGCTGCGGGGGAGGGAGAAAACCTGCGCCCGGTTCTGGGGAGCTGGCGACGCAGTGAACCCTGCTGAGGCTGGGTTTTGCCCCGACAGTCGCTGGTGGCTGTGGGAAGGGTTGGGACCCTTCTCTGAGAGCAGTGAACAGCCCACATCCGGCCCCTGCTGTGTCAACTCTGAGCGGCGTGGAGATGAAGTGGTTGCTCTCCCTTGCTCGGCCCACCGGGTGTCGTGGCCCGGGAACCGGCCTGGAGAAGTCCCTGCTGCCCGGCGCCCAAAACAGGGGCGTGGGCTTCCGCGACCCAGGGCGGCTGCCCCGGGCCATCCTCGAGTTGCCCTGCATCTTCCCGCTCAGTCAGCCCCAGATTGAGGCAGCCTTCTCTGTGCGGGTTTAAATGGGTAACTGTGACTTCTCGCCTCATTCACCCAAACCTCCAGTCTTCTCCCCCGCACATCCTCCTCCACCCACCTGGTTTCTCCCTAGACTGGTGTGCTCGTGTGTGCAACCAAAGGAGGGAGTGCGAGAGATCCACGAAGGGACAGGCTTGGAGTCGCTAGAGGGAGGTGTGGGACCAGCGAGGAGGGGGCTTCGCCAGGGAGGGGGTGCTGGCAGGCGGAGGGAGCGGCGGGAGGAGGCGCCGGAGGAGGAGACGGAGGCCTGGGGACGGCAGAAGAGGCTTCGCCTGAGCCGAGCGCTCTTTCTCTCGCCGCGCCGTCTTGAAGCCGCGCGGGCTCGTGAGCAGCGCGAGGCCGCCAAGGTGCCTCGCTTCGCCGGAGCCGCTGCCGCCCGCCGGAGGGAAGCCGGCCTCGGGCGCGCACGCTCGTCGGAGCCCCGGCGCGCCCCGCGCCTGAGCCTGCTGACAGCGGCCGCTGGGCTCAGGCTGTCCGCTCTGGGCTCCGCGGCCTCGGCCCCGCTGCACTCCACCTCCGCCCCCTCGGACTCCCTCCCCTCTGCTTCTACTCCTCCTGCTCCAGTGCGGATCGTTTCGCAACTGCTTGCCACTCGTCCCGTGCCTGGCTGTTTTTCCATTTCCCGGCCCCCTCTTCTTGAGTACTTTACCCCCTGCATTTGGGGACAGGGACTGGAAAAGGGGCGGGTGGAGCGTCCAGTGGAGAAGAAGGAAGCGAGGCCCGCAGGAGGAGGAGGATCGGCGGACTGTGGGGAGGAGACCCCACGCCACCCTTTCTGGTCATCTCCCCTCCCGCCCCGCCCCTGCGCACACTCCCTCGCGGGCGAGCTACTTTCGGACCAGGAAAGTAAGAGCGGCCCTGGGTGACAGCGCCGCGGGGCCAGTCCCGGGGTTAGCCGCGCGTCTGCTCGCTTCTGGTCCGTCGCGCTCCCAGCCAGGGCACAGCCCGGACCGAGGATGGCTTCGACCACAACCTGCACCAGGTTCACGGACGAGTATCAGCTTTTCGAGGAGCTTGGAAAGTAAGCACCTTTGCCCGGCATCCGCATATCCCCTTTCCAGCTGAGGGCGGGTCGCGTTGCCCCCGACCCACCGGCCTCCGTCTTGGGGCGAGGGAGTTTGGGAGAGGAATGGGAGGAGGGCCCCTGGTTTGTCAGCTCTGGGGAAGGTGCTGTCTTAATAAAGGGAGGGAGCACAGAAGGGGTAGGACCCTTACTCCAACTGTGGCTCATTTTGATGGTCCCTAGCCCACCTTCTCCCGGTCCCCCACCCTCCTGCACTGAGAGACTTAGTGAATTTACGATCTCTGCAGTTGTAGCTATCATCCTGAGAAGTGTGCGCGCGCGCCTGTGTGTAATGTGTGTTTGGAGAGGAAATTAGAACCCATGTAAAATGCAACATAGATCATGTTTTCTGTAAATAGAGATGCCTCCTGGTTAGCCGGCGTGTCGGCCGTATGACCCAGGTACTGATGAGAACTCACAGCCTCAGACGGTGCCATATTTATTGATGCCGAAAGTTCAACTTGGCATAGAGTCTATTTCGCATCCAGTAGTTGTTCTGTCCAGGAAAAGGGCCACCCAACAGAACCCAACCCCTTGCCCTATATCCAGTGTTGTTCTTTGCACCAGATTACCGCTCACCATCATTCTTCCTAGGATTTACGTGTGCATCTTTGCGTTCTCTGGGAGGATTTATTTATACAGGCAACGGAAAAGCCCTCTGGAGACTGAGAGCGCTCTTAAGCGTAGCCTAGCATTGTGTAAAACCACCTCCTTCACCCGACTGGCAGAACTACTTGGAGATGTTAGGGAAGGAGGCAGGAGACCTACTGAGGACTTATGCAAAGGGACCTAGGGGCCAAGCCGTGAATGCTGATTTTTGTAGCATGGAACCCAAACCCAATTCCTCTTTCACTAGTTTCGACTGTTACTTTTATGAAAGGAGTGCGTTTATATGTATGTTGTTGGTTTATACTGTAATTAAAGGAAAGGTAAATATTTTTAAAAGTAATAAAAATTACATATGTATATATTGTCTGGTGTTAAAACATGGAGAATATGTCGGAAGAGCAGCTTAATTCAAATCTCTCCCCTCCCCCAGTCCAAAACAAGGCATAGAGAAATCACCATACCAGGATTTGTTAAACCACACTAATGTGCTCAAGATTTATATTTTAATGAAAATAATCGTCATGTTTACTTACTTGGAACCACATTAATTTTTTGTTTCCTACCAAAATAAGTAGGCAGCAGATTTTTTTGCTGCTCCTCGTCTGCTCTGTTCTGTGCAGGGTTTTTCTCAGAGCATTTGGTGCTGTGAGTGTGAACTGTAAAATGTTTTCAAATTTCTTGTGCAAACAAGAGCGGTCATAATTGGCAGTTCCTTTCATTTTGTTGATTAATAATGTGTGCTCCCAGTTAAATAAAATTTACTTTTATTCTTCAACATTAAAGAAAGTCTGGGTTTCCAGGAAGAATTGTTCATTTACTGGATATTACTGTACTTCACTGGCAATCCACTAAAATCAATAAAAATGCTCAGATTTTATAAATTTTTAATGAAATATTATATCTGTTATATTAATGACCTGCTAATTATTGGTTTCCAGGGGGGCATTCTCAGTGGTGAGAAGATGTATGAAAATTCCTACTGGACAAGAATATGCTGCCAAAATTATCAACACCAAAAAGCTTTCTGCTAGGGGTGGGTATTTTCAACCACATATATTGGTTAATTTTGTATTTGTCATGTTGATTATAGGTTCTGTTGTATGTAAATATATCATGTAGTTATAACTGAACTTTAGACTTAGGTATCATATTATATATTAAGATTATTTTCTTCCTGAATGCTTCTTGGTCTGTACAGCTTAAAAATACATGGAAAGATATAATTATTATTTGATACATTGCTATTAAAATTCTATCTGTCCTATGAGCAATAGCATGAATAACTATATTTTAAAGCAAATAAATGTCAGGTGCATTTTGCTTATAGTTTAAGTATAAAACAACTTTTAGACCATGGAATGGAAAAATATAAGTCTCACAACTGTCATAATTCCCTTTTGCTTTTGAGAGGGAAGTAGGTCATAGCTCAGTTGAATCATACATTTCAATTGTAGTTACACTTGAACTTAATTCATCAAGGTATATTTAACAGTAATAGCTTTGGTAAGAAAATTTATGATTGCTATATTCTAGGAAGTTTAGTTTTATTTTGATGTTTCTGTGTGCAGCTCAGACCTTGGTCTTCGCATTAAGGCTTCACACAGACTCATGTAATGTATTTTACACATGTAGTTTATAGGTACAGAGATAATTCATACTCGTAAAATAGCTGTTGACATAACCAAAAAACTTGGAGGGCTCTCACTGCATTCTTTTTATTTAGTAGAACTCATGCAAAAGTACTTACGCTGAAATGTTAGGCATTCCAATTATTGTGGGCACGTGTCTGAGGTATTTCCATGGGAATTTATGGTATAAAAATGAAATGAAAATGAACAAAATACCATAGTGTACGCTCATCTCAGTGACCTGGTTTATTTTAAGTAATGAGAGAAGAAATTCCATTAGGTTTAGTTTTCCTCATTTAATATGTCTTTTCAAAAGTGCTTCTTACCAAAATCCTGGCATCATTGCTTTCGGTCTCTGCCATGATTAGTTTTTCCATATTTATTGCAAATTCTACTTTTAACATGCATTTTAGGTTTAGGTTGGTATTTTAGTTTATCCATTCACATGGGTTGTTGTTTTAATTTCCTTCATCTGATTTTGACATGATTCTGAGAAAGATCTATAAAGTAACCAGCACCATAGAATCATGGTATGAAAACTAATGAGAAGAATATTATGTTAATTATGTTCTCTTAGTCTCTACTCCACAGAAAGGTTTTAACAATGAAAAGGAATTGCTAAACTATAAGTGACATTTTAATTTAAAAAAATGAAAATGTGTAGTTAGAATCTTTCAGTGCTTCTCTTATTTTCTTCTGTGTGCTAGATACTTTTGGCTGTGGTGGGGGTATCATTTCTTTTGAAAGCATTACAATACCTATTCCAAGATTTTTGGTGGTGTTTCTTTCAAAACAAATCAGTGTAGTGCTTCACTTTTACTAACTTTCTTAATTAGAGCCATCCCTCTTCACTCATCTGAATTTGTCCTCCCTAAATCAGAATAACAAATGTACTTATCCCTGGTCACATACATTTTACTCTCTTTTCCCTTCAATCTGTGGAGAAGAAGCCTTCTTTGGCCTGATGGAATCTTTTCTCCTTGCTACTCCACCAGTGTTTCCTTACTTGCTCATATTCTGCTTCAAAGAACTACCTACATGTCCCAAAGCTTTTTACCGCTTCTGGATGTAATGATTTTCATTATTCTACTTAGAAAAAGGAACTAGGGTGAAGAGTTAGGAGACATTCTTCTTGCCCGTTTTCTGCAATTTTTTTTCCTTGTGACTTTGGGCAAGTTTCTTAACCTGTTGTAGGTTAACGTACCTAAGAGTGAGCTGGTGGTGAAGAACATTATTAACGCTGCAACCAGAAGCTCTTGAGTTTAACTTCTGCTGCCCATACCTACTGGCTGTGTGATCTTGAGCACATTAACTAGTTTCTCTGAGCCTCAGTTTCTTCATCTGTAAAATAGCAGTAATAACAGAACCCTTCCTCATAGGGTTTTGTGTGGAATGAATGAATTAACATAGCATAGAACAGCACCTGCCCCACTATATGCAGTCAATGAATATTATCTGCTATTATTATCTAATAAAATTGTCATAATGATCAAATTAGATTACTTTTATGAAAGAACTTATAAATCCAGTGGCAGCCTTGATTTAGCTGTGAGAACTACGTTTGAATCTTTGCTCTACTACTTAGGCATAAATTTCGTTTAGTCTCTTTCCTTTTCTGGATATCAGGTTCTTCATCAGTAAAATGGGAAATCATACTCATGGAGTCTCATGGGGTGTTCTGAGGATTCAGGGAATTCAATGAGAATCATTTCTTAAACTGCAAAGTATTGTGTCAATTTTACCTCTTATTATTGTTCTCCTGAAAAATTACAGAACTTTTCCTTCAAAATGGTCAACAATTTTATTTTATATTGTCACACTAATCAGAACTGGTTGTAGAATATTTGTGCCTTTGAATGAATACGTTTGTTTAACTTGTACTCATATTGAATTATAAACTCTTGAAGAAGAAAATACCATGCTTTCATTTTTTGATACAACATTCCACAGAATTGAGAGCATAGAAGGGGCTCAGTACAGAGTAACAAGAATCAAATGTGGTTGTTAAATGACTTGTAAGAGTTAAGTACTTAATTTACTCCTAACAACAAGCAAATACTGAAAATAAATCCGTGAAGTAGTATATTAAGAGGATATGTCTTAACCTATGAAGTCTTTTAATAACACTCATTTCAGAGAAGATGATACAAATCATTTTTGCAGAAAAATTTTTAAAATAATGAATACGTTCAAAGGCAAATGTAGAAAGAATTGCAAAATAGTATGCTTGTTTTTTCTAAGGTACTGATTTTTGAGAGTTGCATATGGAAGCTTTTGTGGAGCATACTTTTTTTGTGCAAATTTTTGTTTGTATTTGAAATTCCATGACTCTGTATACCCAAGCCTTTAGTCTATTTGTTTTAAAGACCAGGCAGGTCCTCCAACTCCACTAATGTTCTTTAAATGTAACATTACAGCTGAAAAAGAAAGGGCTATTGTTAATAAATCTAAGACCATGAGGGAATTGCCAAAGATTTGGCTACATTCCTGCATAAATTTGCACATCCAACTATACTATCAACCAGGCATTTTTCTGTGCCTAGATTTTAATGGATTTCCAGCAGACAGTTTCAGTTGTATTTCCTCTCAGCTGTTAGTCATACATACCATATTTGGGGAACTCTGAGTCAATTGAAGAATTTCTTACCTTTTGTGTTAGCATGTGCGTGCATAGAACATTCATTATACTGAGCATGTAGATGGGTACACTCATATATAATTTGGCTTATTTTGAAAATAAGTAGTATGGAAGCATCTCAAGCATCTTATATTTTATATGTAATTTCTATCTTCTAAAAAGTTTTTGTTAGATGGGCATTGAGGGCATGCTTAGTAAATGTTGAATAGTGATAATAGAATTTTTGCCTTATATTTTCATGAGAATTAGAAATTACGCCATTTTAATCCCAAGCACAGTTAGATTAGTACTTAACAAAAGCCAATTTTTTTCTGCTGCTTTGATATTCTGTTTATTTATACATGTTTAGAACTGTACACTGTTGTCAAATTATATAAAGTCCAAGAAGAGCTGTGACTGCAGTTCAGAATCCAGTGGACTGATGGTTCTGATGGCAGATAATTTAGAAATAGTACCTGTGATTTATTTTGCATTTCAAAGCCTCGTGGTGGTAAAATATTTTATGTGGAAGTAATGGCTTCTTGACATTCATCTCCCAGTGTATTTCTTGATCGTTAGAAACCATTTGACTATTACATAGATTCTGATGTGTCACAGTCACTGTTTTTGTAAAATATAATACATTATAGTATAGGGTTAAAAAATAAGTTATTACAACTGTATTTTACCTCTACTCCATTGCTAAAGTTAAAAGGGATTTCATTTTATATTTCTGTAAAACTTCAGGCTTAATCAGTTAAGTCATTTTGATATTCTTTGATTTTACTAGTTTTATTAATTCCTAAATTGGTGATATTAGTAGTACATGAATCAGGACTTTATAAAACTACTTGACCATGTATGCAAAATTAGGCCTCATCTATAAAATCTAAATGTTTTGTGTGTGTGTGTGTGTGTGTGTGTGTGTGTGTGTATCCCTAAGTAACCTTTTTTGATGTTGTAAAAGGGATGTTAAAAACTAATTCTTGCTACTTTTCTTTTATTTTTGGCTTCCAGGCAGTCAAGAAAGTACTGTAATTTCTCAACTTCATGGTTACTTGTCTTGAATTGGAAGTAGAACTGAGACTATGTAGATGGATTAAGTTCTGATTATACATTATTGATTTGGCAAATTGGAACAATTTGGACAAATTAAAATTTGAAGGTTTCTTGGCAAGAACAACATTTTAAGAAAAAAATTAGTAAATCATTTTTATATTTGTACATAGAATCTCCACAACTCTTCAGTTATGGACCCAGAAGTGGCATGTGTCATCCTTATTATTTTGTATCCTTTACTTACGTTTAGTTGTATTTACATTCTTCTATAGGTCTTGATATTAAACATTCATTTTCTTCTTTCATTGAATGAAAGCATTACTGCTCTTCAGAACTAGTTAGGAGACACAAATAATAAAAAAAAAAAGTATATCCACACTTCCAGGAAATAATAGAATTCTTTTCTGTATTTCATTAAATGAAGAAAATAAAGAAAGTGGTTGTCAGGTGCCATACTGTGATATTAATAACTAGTGTAAACCTCTACCTGATTGTGTGAGAACTTTGTTTAGACAATTAGATTAATACTTCTCATTTCCATTGAAATGTTGAATAAACTGAATATAAAAATTAAAATTTAGCAATATGTCACCTTTTATGGATCTTTTTAATGGTAATAATCACGAATTACTAGAAATCTTACATGTACTGGGCTTTTCTTGGGCATCTAACTTTTTTGTTAACTAGAATTTTAATTTATTTTTAAAGTCTTCCTTGGGCTTATACTGAGGTTGACTCATAGTATTTCTAGGGCTGGATTGGTATATTTTTTAACATCAGTCTTCCCCATTTATTAGGGTGTAATGTATGCAGTGTTTTAATAAATCATTGGCAATTAATGATTATATAGAGGCTGTGTTAAAGATTTTAAGTTACAATAGTATTTCTAGTAAACTACACTGCAATGCATTAAATGGAGTATTAGCAATATTTTAACTGTAAAACATATCTTTATATTTCAAATCACTTTATAGATCATTAAGCATATTCACATGTCTTTATGTGTTTATTTAATAAATATTAAATGATTTCAGTGGACAGTGTTAGGAAAAATAAAGGCTATCTACCTAAATAAACATAATAGAAGACATGAATGGCATTACAATTCAAGCATGAATAAAGTACTATGGGCTCTTAAAGGAGGACAAGATTATTTCTGCCCAGGGAGATAAAGAAAGCCTTTCATATAGTATTGATTTAAAGAAATTTTGAAAGCTATAATGTAGATGGGGCTTAAGTACCACCCCCGCCCCCACCCAACCGAAAAAAAAAGTCTAAATAAATGATTTGGGGAAGTTGCTCAAAGTAGTTTAAATATCTGATTATAACAAAATGTTATGTTATTCATATGGTAAATTTGTTGTAATTATCAGTATACAGTTATTTTTAGAATAAAATTATTTTAAATGACGTAGGCTGTTTCTTAAGTGACAAAATTCCTCTAATTCCAGTTGAGAGATTTAGCAATACTTAAGGAGAAATCATAGACCTTTTATCTGCCATAACTTCTCTTACTCTAGCATAGGGAAATTGGTAGGTTTGAAGAGGAGAGAGGGCAGCTTTTTTGTTAAGTTTGTTTGGTTTTGTTTTTAAATCTCTTAGCTATCATTGTAATTACACACAATGACACAATGACATCACTGATTTTTTTAGTTACCTGAGCCCCTTTTCTGGTGTTACAGTCTCATTTTAACTCCTTAGAACTATGTTTATTACTACCAAAATCAATAATGCCATCTTCATCATTAATAATAATTTAGAAAAATATAAATATTAATAGCCATTATTTGAAGAGCCCCTTCTATGAGACAATAAGTATATATTTACAAGATACTTTGTTTTATTTTATTTAATCCACACTGCAGCCTCCTAGAACAATATTATGTCCATTTTAAAAAAGAATACTGAGGCTCTTGTATAAGGCCTCAAAATTAGTAAGTGATAAGAGTCAGGATTTCAATCTGGTTTTCTCTGACTGTAAATTCTGACTCTTTCCACTGTCACCTCCTGTTGATTGCTATTAGAGAGGACTTATCTTAATCTGTCTGTATTTACCTGTGTGTGCTTAACTGATCTTACAAACTTCAGAGTCCTTCATACAAAGCACTATGCCTTACATTTTATCTTCCCATTGCAGTGTGGGGGATTGAGTATTTCTTTGGGAAAATACATTTAGAGTTCCAACCTGTGAGAGAAGATAGTCTTTTAAATGCTACTATAACAAGATCAAAGTGAAGTTTCAGACAGTCCCTCCATGCTGTCTTCTGGAAGGACAACAATATAGTGAAAAATGTTATTATAAAATGGTAGGAAAATGGTTAAAGAGGAGTTCAGTATTTTGGTAAACTTAATTCATTAACTGATTAAAAATATCTCACTATACAGTAAGTTTCTAGGATTACTTCTTCTAAATGATTCAGTTGTCACTGCAAACTAAAACTCAGCCCTTAACCGAAGCCCAGAGAAACCTACTCAGAAAGCTGTTCTACTCTTCTGGTTCATCTTGTTTAACCAGTGAACAATGGAAGACAAATTTTTGTTGTTTTGTAGTTTCCTTTTGAACAACATTGTTGTATGTAGCAAATTCTTACAAAAATGTGGCAATTTAAAGAAAAATATAAAATTGTCAAGTTCTATATTTGTTGAAAAAATAACTTAGGTGCAGCAAGTAGTATAAAGGTACACAAAGTATTGTGATATAATATTTATATACAGTTAATTGTTTTACAATAGGTTTCCTGTTTTCCTTCAGTTACATTGATTACATAGGAATGTTAAAAGTTTTATTGCATAAAATTTGATATATATAATTATATCATATATATTTAATTTTATAACAATAAGCACCCAATAAGCCTCCACTCAATAACTAGAACATTCTCCCTACTTTTGAAGCTACCTGTGTGCTTTTTGTTGATCCCTATCCTTTGTATCTCCCCGAGAGCTAATCACCATCCCTAACTTTTTTAGGAGAGAAACCTCTTTTTATTTCTTCATACCCTGGGGTTTTTTAATTAACTGGCTGATCTCAGTGGGCCAGTCATTCATGGAATAAATATATGTAGCCATTTTCTAGGTAAATTGTATTTTATTTTATTTTGTGTGGTATATGTGTAAACTCATGGAATAAAATACATTACTTCTCATATATTAGTATATAATTTTACCCTCTTAAATATAGGCAATGCTTAATTTATTTGGAATTTGTTTAGTAACAGGAAATTATTTTCTTCCTATGTCTGATAAAATTTTTTTTAAAATTATTTATTTATTTATTTTGAGACAGAGTCTCGCTCTGTCGCCCAAGCTGGAGTGCAGTGGTGCTATCTCGGCTCACTGCAACCTCGGCCTCCCAGGTTCAAGTGATTCTCCTGCCTCAGCCTCCTGAGTAGCTGGGATTACAGGTGCGTGCCACCACGCCTGGCTAATTTTTGCATTTTTAGTAGAGGCAGGATTTCACCATGTTGGTCAGGCTGGTCTCGAACACCGGACCTCGTGATCCACCCACTTAGGCCTTCCAAAGTGCTGGGATTACAGGTGTTAGCCGCCGCACCTGGCCAAAATTTTATTAATGATAATGTATACACATTGAAATAAAGCATGAATAACTTATATAAAAGTAACTTATTAAATGTAAATATAGTAAGTGAAAATTTATCAAAATTTTCTGTTTTATAAAGAAATTGTGGATAGTTGATATATGCCACATTATGCTATTAGTGTTTAAATTAAAATTTGATGTTTTGTTGAGGAAATAAGTACTTTTGCATTTTTTTGAGGCAATGTTCTGGATAATTTGAATTTCTGCTGAGGGTTATTTGTTAGTAATACAGCCCCAAACTCAGCATATTCCCAGTAGACTCATCAACTTTCCCCCTCTGTGAATGGCACAATAATTTTCCTAAGCTTTCAAGCATGCCTGATTTTTTTCTTTTTCTTATCCCATCTCAACACCTTTTTCATTTCTTCCTTTTCACCATCCCAATTTGAACTCTCTTTTCTTTTTGCTTCAACTCTTTGTTTTGTGTTTTGAGACACAGTTTCTCTGTTACCCAGGCTCTAGTGCATTTGTGAGAACCTAGCTTACTGCAGCCTCCAATGCCTGGGCTCAAGTGATCCTCCTGCCTCAGCCTCCTGAGTAGCTGGAACTACAGTCATGTGGCACCATGCCCAAGTAGTTGTTTGTTTTATTTTTTTTAAAGACAGAGTCTCTCTGTGTTCCTCAGGCTGGTTGGTCTTGAACTTCTGGGTGTAAGGCAATCCCCCTATCTCAGGCTCTGAAAGTCCTGGGATTACAGGCGTGAGCTACTCACTGTGCCTGGCTGCTTCAACTCTTTTAGATAGCCTCCTAAATGGGTTTGGTAGATAATAGTTGCACATTTTTTATTCGTTTATTCAGCTCATCATTAGATCTTTTAGCACTCGCTTTGCTGGGCAACTTGATAAGTTTTAGAGATCCAGAGGTAAAAGACAGACATTCCTTCCTCAAGTATTTCCTGGCCTATGAGTGTGGATGACAGCCTGGCATTTAGTAGAGTTAGTGAAAGGGCTGTGATAGACGCGTGCACAGGGCTTTTGAGAGCATGCAGAAACAGGCTTGGGGAGGTTGGTCTCACAGATTTCCTGAAAAGATTGATGTGTGAGGTTGTATTTTGAATAAATTAGGTGAGCCTGCTAGAGAAGGGAGTAAGCAATCTGTTCACAGGGAGGGAGAAAGTTCCTGCTCCATCTTCCTGATGGAGTGAGTACACCTGGTACTGTTGCAGTACTCTCTCCTTTAAGATCCAGTGCAGGTCCTGCCTCCTCCATGGTCTCTAACTTCTTCCCCCACCTCTCCTTACTTTCTCTAGCCAGAGAGATTGTTGTCTCCTTCTTTGTCCTTTCAATAGATATTTCATATCTTATGGAGCTTGCCAGATTTCTCCCTTTGTATTGCAGTCATACATGTTGTGGCCTTCAGGCATTTGGTGACATTTCTTAGTTTATCTTTCAGTCTGCGCCTGGCACAGTAATTAATATTGCAGATACTTGTAAATGTTTGTTGGATAAGTGGACAAATAATTGCATGACCAAATAAGATTCTGTATCTTGAAATAGACATGCTTCAAAGAGAAACTTATGACTGGCAAAGTAAATTGAAAATTGACTAAGACTTCATGTCAAATAGCATACAATAACTCTATAAATTAATTTGTAATTCACAAATTATTTCATAAGTTTTGTCATGACAAATTCTGCTTTATTGGAAAGAGTTTTGTATAATTCAGTATTTTCTTTTTGAGCAACTACTTGCAAATTCTTATTGCTGCTCTTTTTTTAAACCATGTATTATAAAGTGGCTCATTAATGAGGGCTAACATTTTCATGGTCTGTGTGTCCATCAGCACCACTTTAATAATTCCAGACTCATGTCATGATTAAATTATTTTAACATGTTTGAGTTTAAAAAAATTTTGATCCATTCTACAGAGGTATCTGATTACTTTTTCATTTATTTTTTGACAAAGCTTATTTTTAAGCAGTATGGTGACACTTTATAGAGTTTTAGATATACATATCATGGATGTTATTAGCTTAGAGGATATTTGATTTTTTTTAGTAAAGGCAGTTAGAGGCCAGCTGTTTCAACTGCTGTGTCTGTCAGTTGAGAAATTTGGTGAGGGAGAGTGTACTTGTTTCTGTATTGGAAGGCTCTTTAAACAGAATGCATGTTGAAAAGCACTTACTTGTGTTCTCTCCTCAAGGAAATTTCTTGTGTGATATGTTGCAAGACACTGGGTGGGGGGGGCGGGGTTCCAAATTCTATAGCTTTACAGTGCTAATACATATACTAAATTAGAGACATATTTCTAATACCTATTCTAATATATTTAATATTATATATTACATTCTATTTATAGCTATTATATATGAGAAAATATTCTTTTCATAAAAGTATTCCTATCATATTTTTAAATGATGACTTAAAGCCTTTAATCATAGTGGCAATAGTGATTTGGGGAGTTAGTTCAGGTGTACATTTTGGCAGTTTTGTAGAAATTGTATCCATGATGAATATTTTATTACTTTGATAAAGTGAATTTTATATGCTTTAATACTAAACATTAATATTTGTTAGGTATAGAATTACAAACTTCAGACATACCTCTGAAATAAATCTTTATTACAGTTTTGTATAAATACATTTTAAAATAATCATATCATAAAATATATATATTCTAATTACAGAATTTGGGGAAATATGGAAAAATAGAATGAGGGAAAGACATATTTGTAGTTCATTTCCCCCAAACAAGCACTGTTAACATTTTGTCACTTTCTTTTTCTTCAGAATACTGGACTAAAATATTACAATTTTATGTCCTGCTTTTTTACTTAAAATTATAAAACTTCCCTATGTACTGCAAATCTTTTGAATTCTTAATAAGTGAATTATACTTCACTAAGTGACTAGAAAACTGATTAATTATTTTGGTATTCCTAGTATTTTTTTTAATTTTTGCTTTTTGCTATGATGACTGGCACTATTATAGACATTCTTTTGTATAACTTTTTTTATAGTTCTGATTAGTTTCTTAGGAAATATTCATAGAGGAGAATTAATGGGTTAGAGGATTAAATATCATCAAAATTATTCTTGCCTAATTACTTCCTGTAAATTTTGTGTGTTTCCACCAATGACAAAGTATGCGAGCGAGAAATTGAATTTTAAGGAGCGTGATTCTAAATTTTAACTTCAATTTAACAAAAAATGCTTATTCACCATGTTCTGGTCCTTCTGCTAGGTGCTGGATAAATGAAGGTACAAAGGACAAAAGTCCCTCCTTTCAAGGTGAACAGATGTAAAGTCAAGTAAAATTACCATTCAGGTTGATAAATCTAACAATGGGAGTGTTTACTGGGTTCTGAGGTGTAGGAGATAACTGTTGGGTTGATGAGAGGTCAGGGAAAACTTCCTAGAGGAGCTGATGTTTGAACTGGATTTCCAAAAGAATCAGTTTTTGAACTGAGAGATAGGTAGGAAAAAAAACAAGTTCAAAGTATATGTTGAAAAAATACTCACGAGAAGCCAGAATATTGGAACGTACCAATAAAGACTGAACTTGAGAAAAGCACTTTCTAACTCTTGGTGATAGACTTATCAGGTATAGAGTTTCATGAAACATGCAAAAACGGGTGAAAAGAATGGGAGTTTTTTCTTCCAACGAATCATTAAGTATGGCAAGAGCTGTTGGAGGTTCTTAAATAAGGCAGATTGTAGAATTTTACAACACTGAGTTACTTGAAATGAACAGGTGATAAGAGAGGAATAATTAACCTCTTACCTACCTCATATTTTGTTTTAGTGAGCCTTGGGGCAATACAAAAAATTAAGAGTGACTAAGTAGAAAATAAAGGACGGGAGGATAATTAGAATTTGTTTTTAAAAATCGGCTAGTACTTTAAAAGGTAGTTCCTATAGTTGCAATATGGATTAATGACTGTTTAAAAAAGTTCATAAGTTTCTGCTCAAATCCAAAACTAAGATATCTAAAAATGGTACTGACATTATTAACTGCTTGAATGCCTATTGTCAAGAGTAGTGTTTGGCACCCACCACAGGTATTTATTGAAAACATAAAGGAATAAAATGATTCCCAAATGATATCATCTTATGATTAATGAATACACATTTGAGGACCTAGAACTTTTAGCAGTAAGATTTGCATACGCTTTTCCTATTGAATTTAAAAAAAAAAAAAAGTTCAAAATTCTGTTAGATTAATTCTGTGATATAGTTTATAATTTGGCATAAGCTGGTAGTAGGGAAATAGTCACTTCTTTATGCCCATGATTTATATAATGAAACAATCTTCCATTCACTTAGAAGACAACTTCGATTTAAATATTTAGCCTCCCTAGCAAGGCCCAGCCATGCAATTTTTTCCCTGTTAGAAGAATTTTAGCAACAGTAAAAAAAATTAATATGTAAGATTTTGCTATTTTTATTAGTTTTGAGGACTGCTTGCCTTGTAGTTTAAAGGGGGTAAAAAGGATCATTGTTTTACTCAATGTATATATATATATATATTATTAATGGTAGATTTTTTTTTTTTTTGGTTGATGTAGGAACTTTGGGAGTAGAGCAGAAAGCCTATTGACTTCAAAAATAGTGACTCAGGGTTGGTATAATCATTAGTAAGCAGGTTGGGAAAAATCCTAATTCCAGACCTCAAGTAGAATTTTAGTATCAGAGTCACTCCTGTTCCTTAAATGTAGATCTCCTGATTTCAGGCCATTTTTCATTCTAATAGAATTAGAGAAGAAAAATAAAACCTGTCAACGAGGACTATTTACCTCCTATAGATAGGATTGAGACCTACTTTTCTGTAACTTTTGAAGTTATTTTTGGGAAAAATTTCCTTGGGTTGACTTTGCCCCCTTCACCCAATGCATCTGTGTGATCAGGAAAAGGGAAAACAAGATTTAATTGTTAACTTTTAAAAAGTCCTTTTGAAAGAAAAAAATATATACTGTCTTATATTGACAGAGAACCAATTATTGGGTTACCTGCAACACTGTATCCTCCATTTAGTGCTGATAATCATAATGTCCATAATCTCCCAATAAGATAAAATAATAAAGAGGCTCTGAGGCATGAACAGGGGTGGCTAAAGGATCATTGAGATAACTTTTAAAATAATAATGATTTATAGAAATTGAGTTAATATTTGTTGACCTTCTACAAACTTTAAAACAGATAGAAGGTTTTAAGGTATATGTTTTGAAATAATCCAAACCAAATAAATCTAAACTTAGAAATACCATATTAGAAATATACAGTGAACACACACAAGGTCAATTTTAAAAACAGCACTTAGCTTTGAGCAGATAATTTCTCCTTCACCCTGAATGCAAATAATTTATTCAGCCCTTCTATAACAAGCTTAGGGGATAAAAGAGGCAAAGGGCATGAGAAATGAGTCTTTGGAAAATTATTGTAACTAACACTAATGCTTATTTAGCATCTTTCATTCAAAGACCTTCAGACATTTCCTAATTGAGTTCTGTAGTACTTCTGGAGTGTGGGTAAGGAACATTTAGAGACTCCTGTGCCCAGTGCTGTAAGGCCTGCCATCCCCGTGTGGCATGTTGCAGCTGTTTTGTAGGGTACATCATATTCCTTCCTGGGCCAGAGAATGGAGGAGACAGCGTTATCCAGCTGAAATCCCAGAAGGATTAGGGGAACAGGAGTGAATTACCTGGATTGGAATTTGGCCAGCTTTCTGGGTCAGAAATCCTATTCCTATAAAAATGTTCTATCTTTAAAACATTTTATATCCTGCTTTATCTCCAAGAAAATAAACGCTACATCACTTATTTTCTGCAAATACCTTTGGGAGCTTAACATTAATATTGAGGAATGTGACAGCCTATATCTACTATTAATGAGGAAAGAAAGCGAGGTTAACATTTTATCTAAAAGATATTAGAAGAGAAAAACTATTTGTATTATGCCTGTCGAAAGTAAGCTGTGGGGGACATGAAGATAATAACATATGACCAGTTCCCACAAAAAACTTACAAACTGGTTTGATGAATAGGAGACATACATAGATAATTATGGGGAAGATATATATGTATCTTCAGTATCAGAAGAAAGTATTATGAGAATTCAGTGTAGCCTAGTGATGACATTTAATGGCAGAAGCAAGAAAGGTAACATTGAGGAAGCAGAAGTGGCAGTGCATAGAAGGAAGAAAGAAGGACAAAGACACAGGAATGCAGGAAAGTATCAATGTTTAGGGAAGAACCAAAAATGTTTATTTGGGCAAAGGATAGACAATCTGGGAAATCAGGAAAGAAAAGGTTAAAAACACGTAAAGGTAGTTTACCAAATTGCAAATTTGCTCTTAAGTATACCAGAGACACATTAAAGAGAGCCTCTATGATGTTACTTGGTAGCAGTGAATGAATACGATGGATTGGCCTGGATTATGAGAGACACTGAGATTCTGAAACCTTAAGATAATAACAGATGTGGCAGGAGGGCTGAAGTTTCAAAGCTGAGTCATGGGGAGAATTAGTTTTCGTGTAACTAGTTGAGAAGTGAGAATCAAGAACTGATTTTGATGAGGGAAGATGATTAATTGATATGTATTTGAGGTATACACAATATATTCACACTGACTTATCAAAAAGACCTTTGAAAATTGGGTGTGGTCCTTGAAAAGTGCCTCTGGAGAACATGCAATGTACTGTGTAGGTTACCAGCATTGGCTGTGAAATCAGATTGCCAAGATTCAAGAAGTGGCTCTGCCACTTCCAAGTTCTTGTGACCTTCTCAAGCCTTGGTTTTCTTATCTATAAAACTGTGATAATCAATTTTGCGGCTATGATAATCAATTTTGTGATTCATTTGCACGGAGAAGATAGTAGAAGCTATGCTAGTGGATAAGATAACAATGGAGAGTATAGAAAGGAAAGAAAAGAGGGCCTAGGATAGTGGTGTAGGGAAATACTGCATTTTAATGGATGAAAAGAGGGCTAGTTTAGGATAAATGGAAGGATATGGCAGAAAGGTATGAAGGAAATTAGGATAATGCAGTGATTTGAATTCTGAGGGAGGGAATTTTTGCAAAGGAGGGGTGGCTAGTAATGTTCAGAATTGTAGAGAAGTAGAGAGAAATGAAGACCAAGAAAAGGCCTTGATTTCCCATATGGCAGAATTTCAATAGTGTTTAGGACAAGGTCACGAGGATTGGGTCATTAGACTGTTACTTGTTTTCGTATGCTCAGAACCTAGCACATTGCATAAAATAAAATAGGTATTTAATGTTTGCTGAAGGATAAAGAATTAATGACTTTCTTGGGATTAAGGAACAAATGGCGATAACATGAAAAAGCTTGCTTGTTTAACAAAATAGGGGGCTGGGTGTGGTGGCTCACGCCTGTAATCCCAGCACTTTGGGAGGCCTAGGTGGGCGGATCGCGAGGTCAGGAGATCCAGACCATCTGGCTAACACTGTGAAAACCCCTTCTCTACTAAAAATACAAAAATTTAGCCGGGTGTGGTGGCGGGCCCCTGTAGTCCCAGCTACTCAGGAGCCTAAGGCAGGAGAATGGCATGAACCTGGAAGGCAGAGCTTGCAGTAAGCCAGGATTGCACCACTGCACTCCAGCCTGGGCGACACAGTGAGACTCTTATCTCAAAAAAAAAAAGTAGGGAAGATAAAAGAGAAAAAGAGAATTGGGAGTAATTTCAGGGATTCCTCAGGTCAAGGGAATTAACTTTGGGGATAAATAAAACCAAAGCTTATTTGAAAGAAGAGGAAAAAGACTAAGGAAGAGAAGGACTGATAATGCAAAGAAAGAGGGTAGTATTTATTGGGCACAGATGAGGAGGTTGTGGGCATGAGTGAGAATAAGAGATAAGCTTGGGGAAAATGAATTCTTTTTCCTCAGCGGGCACCAAGAGTGAGAAAACAGCACATACCGAAAGGTTTTGAGGTGGAGAAGAGGGCAGTTATAGTTCTGCTGAGAAGAAGAGAAATAGAAGTGGGGTTGAGAAGTTGGATGGTCTTTGGAGACTGTAGAAAGGAGACAACCAAAAGCATTGTGCAGTAGTAGTAACAACCTGAATCATTAGCAGGTACAGGCCTTGAATCTAGCACCAAAGTGTCCAAAAATGGCTCCCAGAACCTGTGGCTCAGCAAAGTGAGACTGCAGAGAATCTGGCATTTTTAAAAGATTTAAGGAGAAGAGGTATCTTTTGTTTACATTAATTTTTCTTAATTCACATGGCTAGTAATAATAGAGCAACTAGAATTTAAACCCAAACTAGCTAATAGCAAAATCCTTGATATTGTCATTCTGTTATGTTCCTTCCAAGTTGCATCTAGCAGAGAGATGAGGTGAGGGAGGCAGTTAGAAAACAAAAAATTGAAAAGAAAATTTTATTCTCTAGGAATAACGGCCAGAATGATGTCATTTTGGAATGTTCAGTAACATATTTCTTTTTCTACTTGAAAGTGAAACCTGGGAAATCTGTAATTTACAATCTAAGTTTCCCTTATTACGATTCAATTTCATTCCATTTTTCTGCATAAACTAAGGACTCTACAGGCAGCTTTTGATGGCTCAGGGTTGTACATAGTTTTTATCAGTAGGAAAGTACTATTTATAGATAAAAATTATCATAGATCAGAAATAGGTAGTACATGCTATGAAAACATAAATTGGTTCATCCTGGATGTCATATTACCAAAGTTGAATATGGCTCATCATCATGAATATTCTATTTCTTGTGCCTTGCTTACATTCCTATCTATATGTCTCTGGTTTAGTGACTGTGACGATTGGGGCTTTTGGTTTGGTAAGTTTTCCCAAAAGCATTGGTATTCCTAATACCTTTTTTAAAAAGTCTGTCTCTTTTTAAAATTTGCTTTTCTAAGTTTACTACAAAGGTTTACTTTGCTCCTTGAGGAAAAAAAAAAAATGAACTCAAGAATTGTTATTGAGGTAGGTGTGATTAGAATGTGTTTGATGTTGTTTTTTCTTTTTACATACCATGTTTTTTCCACTTTATTATTCTTTTGCCCATTTCTTCTCCCATTGCTATTATTATTGATGTTTAAAATCTAATTATTCATGATTTTTCCCTTCTCTACCACCCTATTTTTCACAAAGAAAACAGTTTCTTGAGTTCAGACTTCAAAGTTCTGGAAGACATCTTCTTTGTACCTTCCCCAGTTATTAGCTTTTATCTAATAAGGAAAAGTTTGATATTTTTTATGCTGAAACTTTTGTAACTCTTGGACTTTGTTTCTCTGGTTCCCAAGGTCTCTCATGTCTTATATTGCCCTCATTATATCAGTCATCATTATTTGTTCATTCATTTACTCATCTATTTAACAAATATTTATTGAGCAACTGCTGTGTGTAGGCACAGTTCTTGATTCAGGGGGTAGGTTGGTGAAGAGAGTTAAGATGAGAGACATGGGAAAAGGCATTTGGATAGATAAGTACCATGCAGTGCTATGAAGAAAATATAGCAGGGCTATAAATTAGATAATGACCTCATTGGAGTTACTTTAGATAGAGCTGAGGAAGAAGCATTTGAGCTGAGGCATTAACGATGAAAAGAAGCAAACCGTGAGAAAATACGAAGAAAGAACATTCCAGGCCAAAGGACCAAGGTGACAGTGAGCTTGCACAGGAGTAGAAAGAAAGTCAATGTGGCTGGAGTGTAATTAGCAAGGAGAGAAGTACATGATGATGTTGGGAGGTAGGCAGGGGATGGATTGTGTAGAGTCTTTTAGCCAAGTTAAGGAATTTGGATCTTATTTTAAATGCATTGATAAGCCGTTTAAGGATGTGAAGCAGGGAAGTAATGTGATAGGATTTTGTTTTAAAAAATATCTCTCTGGCTGCCATGTGGAGAATACATTGTAAGGAAGTGTGAGTGAAAGCAAGACTATAGTAGTCTCCCCTTGTCTCTGGGGGATACGTTCCAAGACCCCCAGTTGGTGTCTGAAACTACAGATTGCACAAAACTATATATACTGTATTTTTCCTATACATACATAAATATGATAAAGTTTAATTTATAAATTAGTCACAGTAAGAGATGAGCAAGTACTAATAAAATAGAACAATTATAATAATATACTATAATAAAAGTTATTCTGTGCATGTAACTTTTGCAGTTTGAAGTGCGACAGCAAAACTGCATGAATTTCTTTCTCCTTCTTCACAATTTCATGGATAGAAGATTTATTCTTACCATAGATCTTAGCATATACATTTTTTATTTCCTTATTAAGGGGAGAACTTTCACCTTTGCACTTAAAGGAAGCACAGTTTCCTTTGCTGAACGGCTTCTCCTTGGCATATTCCAATTGCCAGTATCACTACTCTTGCACTTTGGGGCCATTACTAAGTAAAATAATGGTTGCTTGAATACAGCACTGTGGTACTGCAGCAGTCTGTGATAACTAAGATGGCTGACAGGCAGGTAGCATAAACAATGTGGATCCACTGGACAAAGGGATGATTCACATCCTGGGCTGGACAGAGTTAGGTGTTACAAGATTTTATCATGCTTCTCAGAATGGCACCCAATTTAAAATTTATTAATTGTTTATTTCAGAATTTTTCCACTTAACAGTTTTGGATGGTGGTTGACTGCAGGTAGCTGAAACCTCAGAAAGCAAAACTGAATTAAGAGGAGACTACTATAGTTAGGAGACTCTTGCAGTCTAGGGGAGATGTGAAGGTGACATTAGAAATAGTGAGAAGGATGGATTTTGGAGGAGGAAATTTAGGACTTGCTGATGGAAAGGTTGTGAGGTGTGAGGGAAAGTGAGGAAGCATGACTATTGATCTACATTAGATCTAGTAGTCATCTCATAGTAGATGACTACTAGTCAAACCAACTATCTAATGGTGGCACTGTAACTGAGAAGGGGAAAAGTAGAGTATACTAAGATTGGAATGGGAAATCAAGAGTCCAGGTCTTGACTTAAATGTGAGATTTATTACACCTTACCTATTAGCAATGATTCATCATTCTTACCTCTCCTCCTCTCCCTCAAACCCAGGCAACCACTCATCTATTTTCTGTCTCTATAGGTTTTATTCTGAACATTTCATGTCAGTGGAATCATACAATTTTTTTTTCTGATTGGCTTCTTTCATTTAGCATAATACTTTCAAGGTGCATCCATAGTATAGCATGTTTTATTGTTAAATAATATTTCATTATATGGGTATACCACATTTTGTTTATCAGTTCATCAGCTGAAGGACTTTTGGATTGTTTCTACCTTTTGTCCATTCTGAGTAATGCTGCTATGAACATTTATATCCAAGTTTTTTGTGTAGACGTAAGTTTTTATTTTTCTTGGGTATATACCTAGGAATGGAGGAAATGCTGTACATACACACATTCAAGAAATACAAAGGAAACATTTTATGAGATAGTACTCTATAGTATAGGATTCAATTATTACTAAACAGATTAATTTGCATTATAACACATGTGCATATAATTAATAGCCAAGACACTTGGAATAGTTTAGATATTTTGAAGTGTGAAAAAGAAATGGAGTGAAGAGGATGGAAGGGGTCAAGGGCTAAAAAACTGCTTATTGGGTACTATGCTTAGTACCTGGGTGATGGGTTCAATTATACCCCAAACCTCAGCATCACACAGTATATCTTTGTAACAAACTTGAACATGTACCCCCTGAATCTAAAATAAAAGTTGAAAAAAACAGGACATGGAAGTTGAGTTTCAGAATAAGAAAGTAAATTATGACCATTTTCACTTTGTAAATGAGAAGTATTATATCATGTAGGAAAGTTTTTATTTAACCATGATTTTAAATTAGCTATGCCTGGAGTTGAAAGAAACATCTATTTCATGTCAAAGAAACATCAACCTATTATTGAATGATCTCTTTACTCATGTCAATTATTACTAGAAAGAATTTGGCTTGGGAGCTTTATTTGTATCATAGACTTTTTTTAGACTATTGATGTAGATGGCTATTTTTCTTTTAATTGAGTGGAAAGTTTTATAAGTCTTATATTGGATCCACCCCTTCCTGTTCCTTTTTTGTTGGCAAGTGCCTGTTTTTGCATATTACTTGCTGGGCTGTGGCAGATACCCACAGCCTATGACACTGGCATAAAATTTGCTAGGCTTTTGCTTTTGGGGTAGGAAGCTGTGCTGGGGATTGATAGTGGGCAGAGGACTGAGGAGAAGTAGATTGAAATTCTCTTTCACTAAAACCTGGGGTTAGTTTGATGGTCAGTGAGAAGTTTCCATTTTAATCTTTTAAATTGAAGAGTACATTTAGGATTCATTGAAAGCCTAATAATGCAACACCCTGCCTTTCTTTCCAGTGAAATTTTGAATGTTGAATTTCAGTTCTTTTGCAGCATTGTATTTTCTTGATCTGCCTGACAAAACAAGATTAACACATCTATGAAGTATTTCCATTTACACTGTGGTTCTAAGTGCTATGAACAGTAAGGAATGGAAAAGAACAAAGAAAGTTGCATTTTTTGAAGGAATCTTTGAATTCACAGTTAATATTTATTTTTACAAATCAAAAACCCATTTTTGGGATGTGTTATTTATTTTTGTATATATTTAAAATTTGATGTATATTTCCAAGTGAGTTAGTAAATATTGTTCCCCATATTACATCATTCATAAAATGCTTCGATTAATTTTTAAAACTAGGCTGGATTAATAGCCTTTTAAAGCCTTTCAGTTGACTCTTCCCCCAAAATTTTCAGTGACATGGGAAAGTTCATATTGGGAAAATTTCCCTTGATATTTGAATGGTGAATATATACTAATATTATTTCATTATATTTTTAGTGATATATTTAGTATATGGAGATATATACATATATAGACAGGATTCTTAAGAAGGAGATACAGGAACCATAAAAAGTTATGTTTTGCCAGAATTATGTTTTGCCAGAGTCCACTAAAGAGGATAATAACACATTAAAAATATTTTTTTGCATTCACTCATTGTGCAATATCCTATTTTCATTTAAAAAAAATCAGGTTGGTAAGTCTACTGGAAACATGAGACTGCTTAACTTTCCCACACATTCTTTCTCCCTTGTGGGTTTTCATATGGGTATATTTAAACAGCTGCATGAAACCATTATTTGTGGAGGATGGATTGGAAGGGAACATTTACAGACCATCTTGTATAATATTTAGGTCTTCTTTAGGCAGAACCATCAGAGAACTAAGTATAGTGATTTTATAGATAGGAGTTTATTATTTCATCTAACTTAGTTTTTTCTCACAGTAGTTTTTTTTTTTTTTTCAAAGAACATATTTAGATTCTTCACTCATTCTTATGGGGTTGTGCTGTATAAAAGCTGTGATTTATCACTTCTTTTATAGAGAATTGGAAACTTTGATTTCTAACATTAGCAAGATGACCATACGCAATTTGGTTAACTTATTGTGATTTGAAAAAGCCTATTTTGAGGTTGTGAGAAATAATGAGGGAACCTGAAAGGCACATTGTCTTAGGCGCATGTTTACCATGTGACTATGGCTTTCCAGATGGAGAGAACAAATTAAAAATTAAAAATGAGTGATTCTAGACCTTGCCTAAATTCATTGACCCAGATGAGAGCTCTTCACTCTTTCCCAATGCATATTCTCATTTACTAGAGAGCTTGATGTTTTGTTTTGGATCTAGTTCCAATTTTATTATGATAAATAAATGCTATATTTAAAGATAAAGATTCACAACCAGATGATATGAAATGATTACTAAAGCATTATAAAAATGCTATTATGCCTTAACAAAAATATAAAGGACAGTGAAGGATAGATGCAGTTAATAAAGATTTTTTATATTATGGAAAAATATTTGTAACATAAAATCCACCATTTTAACTGTTTTTAAGTGTACAATTTAGTGGCATTAAGTATATTCACATCGTCGTACAACTTTCACCAATATCTATCTCCAGAAGTTTTTTGTCTTCCTTCACTAGAACTCTATATTCATTAAGTGGTATCTCCCTGTTCTCTCCCCCGAGTCCCTGGCAACTACCCTTGCACTCTGTCTCTGTGAATTTGACTACTCTGGGTACCTCATGTAGGTGGAAGCATACACTACTTGTCTTTTTCTGTCTGACTTGTTTTACTTTGCATATCTTCAAGGTTTTTTCATATTGTAGTGTGTGTCAGAATTTTATTTCTTTTTAAGAATGAATAATAGTTCATTTTATGTATATACAACAGTTTATCCATTCGTCTGTTGATGGACATGCAGGTTGCTTCTATCTTTTGGCATTTGTTAACAGTTAAGATTTTTTAGATTTGTCTTTACAAGGGTATATATGATTATTAAATTGAACATTCTAATTGGATGAAATGAAAAGAAAGAAAGTATATCAGTGATAAAGTTTATAATTTTGATTTCTTTATTGTACACAGGAAAGTGCTAGATCATTTTACCCCCAAATACTATTATTATGTTGTAGACTGCTTACTTTTGATATTCTATGACATAAATAGAGATGTTGGAGTATACATCATGATGCGTATTTATTTACCTGAAGGGAAAGATGGAATTCTTCATAATGCGCATATTGGATATTCTGATGAACTGGACATTGCCAGTTCTAAACTCTCATTTACGTTTTGACTTCTTAGTGTATGATAATGTGATTTAATGAATCACGAGGAACCAGAGGGATATTTTTGCCTTTTTAAACTTTTAGCTTTGTAGTATACATTTTTTCTTTAGCCCTTCATCTGTTTTTCATAATTATTTTTCACTTAACTAGTTTTATCATATTAGTTTTAATATGAATGAAAGGCCATAGTGTTTGTTATGTTTTCAAATATGAAATGCCCTGTACATTGCATTGCAGTGATATGGAGTGCTGTCAATGTCCTAGACTTGCAGGGAATCTGCAAACTTGATTGAACTTTTATGAGTAATAATTTAGAAAGATATTAATGTGGAATACGTGCCATTGCATTATCCGCTTCTTCCTTTGTTTCACTCAATTTAAAACAATGCAATACAACAAAACAGAAACAAACTTTGACAAAATCCAGCTGATTAACTTTTGTAGTAAGTTGCCTTTCTACATTAGTATATTTTAAATATTGAGGTATGATATACACAGTTTTGATTTCTGGGGTTAACTAGTTGAAGGCTATAGGGTTTAATATGTTTCTTTGTACACTCAGTGTCTAACACTAGATAGAGTAAAACTGTATTCAAAATATACCAGCATTGAAGAATAGCATCTAAAAATTGGATTGGAGTAAGTTGGATGTCTTGGAAGATCTGATTTTAAGATGGCAGTAACATAAAATACACTTTTATATAATTGTGGTGATGTTACTGGGTGTTGTTTTTTTTTTTTTAATTCTACTAGTGAGTCAGGTGGCTATTTCTATTTGAAAGTGAAGGTTTTAGATTTCAAATTCAGTATGGGTTGTAGATTACATACTTCTTTGTAAAGATTTCCCGTCTATATTTCGTTGCTGAATAGTCATATAAAGATGGTGGAACCTTTTTAAGTCTCTCTGATGCTCCAACAAAGAGGATAAACAACAGGATATTTTTATTTTATCTGATGTTCACAGTATTAGGTACTTTCTTTTGTAGAAAGTTATGGAAATTCTTATTTTTTGTTGCCATTTGCAAAGATGACAGTGATAATATATTTACATAAATATACTTTAATGCCATTTGTCTTTTATCTGGCTAATCTAGTCTTTTTGTTTTTCCTTTCTTCCAAATTGTTCACATTAAATGTAAAAATTTCTGAGCCACCTTACTGTTTCTTACAAAATTGCTGTGCTTTAAATTACTAGAGTATGTTTTAATTTTTTGAACATCATTTTATTACTACAGCTAGAATAATAACCCTTCTCCTGTGCATCTCTCAGTTATTGTAAGAATTAAATGATTTATTATGAAAACACTGTAAATTATAAAGCACCATATATACTTTATTGATCTCTGTAAGTTATACATAGTTGTGTATTGTACAAATTGTGTTTTGTTGTTGTTTGTTTTTTGAGACGGTCTCACTCTGTCACTCAGGTTGTAGTACAGCGGTGCAATCTCAGCTCACCACAACCTCTGCCTCGCGGGCTCAAGCGATCCTCCCACCTCAGCCTCCCAAGTAGCTGTGACCACAGGCGCACACCACCATGCCCAGCTAATTTTTTTTTTTTTTTTTTTTTTTTTTTTTTTTTTTTCCTGTAGAGATGGTTTTGCCATGTTGGCCGGGTTGGTCTCAAACTCTTGAGCTCAAGTGATCCACCCGCCTTGGCCTCCCAAAGTGCTAGGATTACAGGCGTGAGCCACCACACCTTGCCTGTACAAGTTTGCAAAAGGCAGAATTTTATATATATTTCCTGTGTATTATTCTAACTGGGCTCTTATATGCTATCGGTATTGTAGTTTCTTGGACAGGCAAACGTTTTTATTGTGTTTTGTTTGTGTGTGTTTTACTTTTTTAAAATGTCTTGGGTAGTTTTCGGAATCTGTTTTACTCATTTGGTGATTATAAATTTAGAAGTTTGCCATGTAAGATAGTAAAATGTTTTAGATCATTTGGGTTGATTTTTCTGCTTCTTTTTTTTTTTTTTTCCATTTTCCTAAACTTAGGAGTAAAACTGGTTTAAAAAACTTTTTGAGACACTTTAGAAGATTAAGTGGAATGGTCATATTATACTTTTTCCTTTGGTTTTTACTTTGTATTAACATGAAGGCATATATTGCATTTAGAGAAATATGAACACAGTAAAATGTTTTCCCATCAGCCTTTCAAATTTGTTGTATCTTGATTATGAAAGTGTTGTCATTTTAATAACTAGTCTAACTAGGCTGTCAGCTGGTTCTTGGAATAAGGAAGCTGCTTGGGCATTAGTGCTTGGACCTCCCACTCTCTTATTGTCAATAGATAACACTGAACAATTTGAACTATTTGATTTACATACTTGTTAAGTAATTTGTATATATGCCTTCTATTTGGAAAAATTATTTTTGAAGTGGATAAATAAAAAAATTACTATAGGAATAAAAGAGAACAATGTAAAAATTCTACTACCTTAGAATGTAGTAGAATATTATTTTGCAAATTTGTAAATTGTGATTCAAGAAGTATTTTTATGACCTTCCTTTCCATTTGTACACTCTGAACTAGATCAAATGAAAATCATCACGAGATTTTTCATGCCCATTTAATGTTTTATTTTAGAAAGAGTTAAGGAGAAAAAAAGTAAGTTGAAACAACTGAACTAATCTCTTGTAACCAACATTCAGAACAAAGCTTTTAAATTACTCTTCATCTTCTGTGTTTCTTAGGATTCCATGTGCACAGATTTTATTTTATGCCCTCAGTTCAAAGCTAAAACACATCAACTACCCCTATTATTTAAAAAAAAGTTTTTTCAACAAGAGAATTTTAAACAAAATGTCTGTTCTTTTATTCTATTACAGAACTCAGGTGAGAATCCTTCTCATATTTTAACATGGAAATAATGTTTTCCTTAAAAACAACATTTTTCTTGTTTAGCTTAAAAGCAGAATGGAAACCTGTTCTCATTTGTACATATTTAGCCTACCCTTTGGCTTACCAATGGTTGAGTCATGAGCAAAATTAGTTTGTGTATGTATTTTAAAAGTCAGATGTCAAGTAATCACCTTTTAAAGAGGCTCATTATAATTAGTTACATGTATGACAGTTTACTCATGAAGAAACTGCCATTTATGTAATTTCACAGTTTAAAAGCTACATGCTTGAGCAGAGTCTATGTTTCTGTATTTAAAAAATAAAGTGGATTTTGTCTTTGTATTAAAACATGTTAAGTAACTATATCTTTTTCATAGCTCTGCTTTTACAATGATATCAAAGCATCAATAGAAAGGCAAATTAATTTCTGATAATTTCAACGTTATTGGTATTTAATTTGGAGCCATACTTATACCTGATAACTTGACTTTTCCCTTTGTTTGAGGATATTTAACTCACTTAACTCACAGGCTGAAAAGAAGTAGAGAAAAAACCCAGATGTTCAGTTTAGCAATTAAAAAAGGATTTGCACTTGCTGAGTACAGTTTTTTAAATTAGACAGCATCTAGTTACTCTTTGATCTTTCATTTGTGGTGTTCATGCCTAGGCATTTTAAAACTAACTAAAGTAAAAATGCTTACTCAGGAGAAAAGACACTGAGGACCAAGGCTCCTTTAATAAATGGAAGGCAACTGTTATTACAGGAACATAGGAAAGTATTCAAAAGATTTCTTTTGAAATCATTTCAGAAGCTGCATTAAATGGTTCTTTCATTCCTGATTCTGGTTTGCCGAATATCACCATTAGTCATTAAGCACATTGCTTTATCATTTCAGTCTCTGTCTCTGCACATACAACTCTCACCCCTCAAGCTCTCCACTAGTCTACCTCACCTTTCTCTTCAAAACTTCTCCAGGGGCCAACTTTTTGTTAAAGCTGTCCTATGCAAACTCTTTTACTTTATATCCATTACTTATTTAAATTAATTTTTACCCTGTGTTTATTTGAAATCATTTGGAAATTATGAAATAACTGACCTTAAGTCTTTTTCATTTATATTGTACAGTGCTTCTAGTAGAGAAGCACTAATATATCTATATTCCTAATATATATATATTTTGATAGGATGCGCTGCATAGATGAAGATGAGATAGCTATTAACTCTAAATGAATAGGCATGAACTTTTCAGGGAGTCAGAGGAGCTATAGAAAATTCACGTTTAGCTCCTTTTATTTAAATAATATGTAAAAAGTCACATTTCTTTGATGACTTAAACCTGCTGTAGTTATAAAGTGCCTAAATTGTGAGTGCAGGACTCTTATCATTGAATTACTCCTAGAGGTCTTGAATTCATGCACGCTGATTAAAATATGTAAAAATATGTGAATTATCATGTAATTGATACCATAGTGAATTAATATCATTTTGATTAAAGTCAAATTTGTTTAAAAGTTTTACTGAATTCATAACAGCTCAACCAATAATATTAGAAACACCACTGCTGTCATGTGGCAATGCAAGTGTTTCGACATTAAAAAGGAGTGCAGGGTGGGGCACGGTGGCTCACACCTGTAATTCCAGCATTTTGGGAGGCCCATGCAGGAGGATCACTTGGGGCCAGGAGTTCAAGACCAGCCTGGACAACATAGGGAGACCCTGTCTATACAAAAAATAAAAACTTAGCTGGGCATACTGGCACATACCTATAGTTCCAGCTACCTGGGAGGCTGAGGTGGGAGGATCACTTTAGCCCAGAAGTTTGAGGCAACATTGAGCTATGATCGCACCACTGAATTCCAGCCTGGGCAACAGAGCAAGACCTTGTCTCTTAAAGAAAAAAAAAAAAGAAGGAGTGCTGATGTCCCAAGAGTCTAGACACCTGCTGGACTCTAGTTGCCTAACTTTAAAGATGAGAAACCCCGGCCCAAAGGAGTGAAATGACCCACCTCACATCACCCAGAAAGTGTTTAACATAGAACTAGATCTGGTTCCTATGGCCCTGTAATCATATTACTTCTCTATACGGCTGTGGACATAACAAATGGGAATGAAGTTTATGAGAGAGGGCCATATAAAAAGAGCAATAGGCTGGGTGCGGTGGCTCACACCTGTAATCCCAGCACTTTGGAAGGCCGAGGCAGGCGGATCATGAGGTCAGGAGTTTGAGACCAGCCTGACCAACATGGTGAAACCCCATCTCTACTAACATACAAAGAATTAACCGGGCATAGTGGCGCGCGCCTGTAGTCCCACCTACTCAGGAGGCTGAGGCAGGGGAATCACTCGAACCCGGGAGGCGGAGGTTGCAGTGAGCCAAGATCACGCCATTGCACTCCAGCCTGGAGGACAGAGTGAGACTCTGTCTCAAAAAAAAAAAAAAAAAAGCAATAACCCTGGCTTAGATTATCTTTTATACTTTGAAGTGTTTTTTCATCATCAAGAAATAAAATGATAGGAAAACTTGTTTAATGAAGATAATGTTATATAGTGCTTATGAAAATAGTTTCATCTATTACACTATTAATTTTTGATTCTTTAGAAACTCAGTAATAGCAGGAGCATCATTTGAATAGTACTCAAACTTTTTGACATTATTTCCAATTGTGATTTTATTTCTTTATAAGGCCTGAGAAATAATTAGGGAAGATTTGGTGAGTGCCTCTTTAGACCCGGGAATGCTAATACACAGAGTTATAAAATGAATGGCCTGCGGTCATTGACCTTCTTAGTTCTCCTAACCCTTAGTTCTATTTTATGTCCATTATCTTTGTTTTTACTTTGTGGCATGTCTTTGCTTTTTGGTGTTGCTTTAGTGAAAGCAGATTTATGGGAGAGAGGTGGAAATGCTAGTCACTCAGTTTGGCTTTTCGCTAGCACTTCTTGAAAATATTCAGTTGGTGAATATTGAAATGAATGACAAATAAAATCTGAGGGTTATATGAGTTTCAGTTTTTAAGTCAGTCATTTGAAATATGTGATGCCACAGTAACTGCTAAATAAGTGACTTTGTGTTTCTGGTTACAAGACTCTACTAGTTCAGTGGTAAGTCCTATAGCCGTTGTATAAGTTGGTGAGAAAAGATGTAAAGTGTGGTACCTGGTATATTGTATGCACAGGTGATATAAAAATAAACAAAGGTAGAAAAAGTCAAGTCAGGTATTCACTCTACAGAAGGAGAGTCAAGTCAGTGAGTTGAACCAATGAGCAAGTGGAAGAAAGTTGCTGTGAGGGAAGTGATTTAAACAGTTAACAGTTTCATTCTTTTCTATAGCCAGGTGAAGGAATCATAAGTTCCATGAATTGGGTAAAAAAGTTTTGTATGGTGGAAAATGTCTCAGTCATAGGCTTGGCTATGTGAATGAAATGATTTTGGTTCCTTTGTAGTTTGATCCTTGATGAACCTGATATTCAGTGTAAATGTTTCACTAACAATATGTGTACATTGCAGTTTGGTAGAAGATGTCTTTCTACCTACAGCAAATGTTTTTATAGTATATATGGCTAATACTATCTATGAGTACCTTAGTAAAATATCTCTAAAATACAGGAAAACCTTTCTGCTATGGATATAAAATTATTTCATCTCAGGAGACTTTCTAGCCTTACTACTCTCATTTTAATTCATCATATTATTTTGAAGAAACTACTATTGAAACACAAGACATGAAAACAAGAAGTGAACAGAACATGAAATGAGGAGCTTAGAAAAAAAGGTTAACAATAAGTATGTTGTTGAAATGAATTTGCTGTTAATGCCATCTGAAAAGTTAAAGAGTTGTAGTCAACCTTATGAATTCATTAATTAATATAACAACTTTGTTGAACACTTACTGTTTTTTAGGAACTGAGGATACCAGGTGAACAAAAGAGTTTCTGTCTTTATAAAGCTTATAATCTAGTGGTGGAACACGGACAACAAACATATACCTAAGATGTGCACGGGTGTTAATACGTGTGTCTTAGTCTCTTCAAGCTGCTTTAACAGAATGCCATAGACTGGGTGGCTTATAAACAGCAGCGATTTATTTCTCACAGTTCTAGAGGCTGGAAAGTCCAAGATCAAATCCCTAGTTGATTTGGTGTCTGATCAGGGCCTGCTTTTTTGTTCATAGATAGATACCTTTTCTCTGTGTTTTCATATGGTGGAAAGGGCAAGGGAGTTCTCTGGGGCTTCTTTTATAAGGACACTAATTCCACTCATGAGAGGTCTGCCTTCATGACCTAATCACCTTCCAAAGGCCCCAACTCTACACACCGTTAAATTGGGCATTAGGATTTAACATATGAATTTTGAGGGGACACAGACTTTCAGTGCAGCAAAGATAAAGTGCTATCATGGTGATGTAATAGAAATTGATTCAGAAAGACCAGCTTTGGATAGGGTGACCAGGAAAAGTTTCTCTGAGAATGAGGCATTTGAATTGAGACTCAAGAGAAGAGGAGCAGCCAGCAAGAAAAGAGCACGTGAGGCAAAAGAAATGGCAAGTGCAAAGGTCAGGAAATTAGACAGAATTTGCCATGCTGGAAGAACAAAGGAAAGGCCCAGTGTAGTTCATGTTCACTTAGTGAGGGTGGAAGAGCATAACTGAAATTGGATTGGTAAGCAAAAGCTATGTCATGGAAGGTCCTCCGGCTCATGGTGAGAAACGTGGATTTTATCTTAAGAGAGCATGGTCAGCCAAATTTAAGCAGAGGCATAACATGATCAAAATTATGTTTATTAAAAAATTGTTCTGGATTCCCTAGGGTAATAGGCTAAGGAAAGATGTAAGAACTGTGGAACTAGTTAGGAGACTATTGAAATAATGCAGGAAAGAGACGATGATGATGACTTAGGCGGGAGGTTGTTTGTTAATATATAATCCACTGTTATTGTGGCTGCAAATGCAATCCTGTGTCTTTCCATTGTCCATTTAAAAGCAATTTTACAAATATCACTTTTTTAAAACAGTAACTACAATGCCATAAGAGCCTTTTTTTGTTGTAAACTACTGTGGCAAGAAATTAGTTTTAGGTAGAGAATTGCATGTGTACTTAGCTGTGATTGTATTAGGACTGTTCTTTGGAAGACTTTTATTAATAATGAATTAATAATAGTGAAGGTTTTCTAAGCAGACTCTCTTGCACTGTAGTAAGTGTTTCCTATCCATTATCTCATTTGATCTTCACTAAAATCCTGTGACATATGTGCTGTTATTATTTCCATGTTGAAAATAAGAAAACTAGGGGACTGAGAAGGTAAGGAACTTCCCAGGGTAACAAAGATAAAAAATTATGCATCACAATTTGAACCTAGTTCTTTCTGATACCACAGCTCAAACCTTAAAAAAATCTAAAATACCTTTTATTGAGAAACTACTTACTTATAATAAAATGCACAGATCTTAAATGTATTCAGTGGATTTTCACAGTTGCATACACATATGTAGCTACCTCCCCAAACTGAATACAAAATGTTTCTAGCACTACAGAATGTTCCTTCATGCTCCTTCTGGTCAGTTTTCCCCCAACATCCTCCCACTCTACAGACTACTATCTGGTTTTGATCACCATATGTTAGTTTTGCCTTTTCTTGGACTTCATGTGAATGGAATAGAACAATCATAATTTTTGGAGTCTCATCTGTGTTGTTACTTATTGTTTGTTCTTTCTTATGGCTGAGGAGTAGTAGTATTTTATTATATCAATATAGGTCCATTTCACCTGTTGAGGGACATTTAGATTGTTTCCAGTTCTTAGCAATTTTATGAATAAACCAGCTATGAGCATATATGTACTAGAATATGTTTTCATTTCTATTGGGTAAATACTTAGGAGTAGAATTGATGGATTGTAAGGTAAGATGTATGTTTGCCTTTTTAAGAAGCTGCCAAACAGTTGTCTCAAGTGGTTGTACCATTTCAGTTTCCTACCAGCAATGTATGGGAATTGCAATTGCTGTATATCATACCAGCATTTGGTATTGTCAGTCTTTGTTTTAGCCGTTCTAGTGGGTGTGAACTGGTATCTCAGTGTGGTTTTAATTTGCATTTCCCTAAAGACAAATGATATTGGGTCCCTTTTAATGTGTTTAGTGGCCATTTATATACCTTTTCTTTTGAAGTATTTAAGACTTTTGCCCTTTAAAAAATGTGCATTATTTGGATTTTTATTGCTGATTTCTAAGAATTCTTTGTATATTCCAGATACAAATTCGTGTCAGATATATGTATTACAAATATTTTCTTCCAGACTGTGGTTTGCCTATTCGTTTCTCTAGTAGTGTGTTTTTTGATGAGTAGAAATATTTAATATTGATTGAAGTCCAATTTGTTTTGTCTTTCATAGTTACTGCTTTCTCTTTCTTAAGTAATCTTTGCCTGCTTCATAGTTACAAAGAATTTCCTCTTGTGTTTTCTTCTAGAAGATTTACTTTAGCTTTAGATTTCAGTCTTTGATTCATTTAGAATTTACTTTTGTGTATAATATGAGGTAAAGAGCAAAGTTCTTTTTTTTTCATGTTTGTCCAGTTGTTCCAACATCATTATTCCCTATTGAATTATTTTGGTGCCTTTGTCAAATTAATTGGCTATGTATGTGTGAGTGAGTTTCTGGACACTGTACTGATAAATTTGTATATCCTTATGCCAATATCACATTGTCTTGTTTACTGTCACTTAATCAGGAAGTGAATTTTATTCTTTTTCAAGCTAGTTTTATCTATCCGAGCTTCTTTCATTTTTATATAAATTTACAGAGAGTTGTCAATTTCTTTAAAAAATAACCTGTCCTGATGTTTCTTTGAATGGCATTGAATCTCTACATTAATTTTGTGAGAATGAACCTATTAATATGGAGTCCTTCAATCTACATACATGGCATTATCTCTCATTTATTTCATAGCCCAGAATAATGCACAAGAAAGAACACATGAGCGGAGACTAGTTGATCAATTACCTCTAGCAAACATAGGGTCTCCTCTCTCTTTTAAAGTCTATTTAAACACCAATTCTAAGAAAATATGCGTTTGGTGTTAAGAGAGGGTATCTCATGTGAAAGTGAGTGAGCTATACTTCCTTATATTAAGAGGAGCGGTTAAAACTTCAGAACTGTATCGGGTTTCAAAAAAAATTGTTTTCCAAAAAAATGTGCAGCCCTTTGACTAGTAATATATTTTCTGTACTAGTGAAAGTGTGATCTCTCGTAGTTTAATTCAATTACCTAATAAGCTGATATGTGATCACTAGTATTCTCATAAAACATCACATAAAAAGCAAGCAGTCGTGGTCAGGCTTGGTGGCTCACACCTATAATCCCAGCACTTTGGGAGGCTGAGGTGGCAGGATTGCTTGAGGCCTAGGGAGTTCAAGACCATCCTGGGCAACATAGTGAGACCCCATCTTGACCAAAAACAAACAAACAAACAAACAAACAAACAAAAATTAGCCAGGCATGGTAATGTGTGCCTGTAGCCCCAGCTACTCAGTTGGGTGAAGCAGGTGGATCACTTGAGCCCAGGAGTTTGAGGCTTGCAGTGAGCCATGATTGTGCCACTGCACCCCAGCCTGAGTAACAGAGTGAGACCCCAACTCAAAAAAAAAAAAAAAAAAAAAAAAGCCCAAGCAAAACAAGCAATCTTATGTGGAGGCAGTCAGAAAGTGCTTTAAAGTCGTGAATAGAGTTGCATTTTCTAAGTCTAGGGGAAATGTGTACAACAAAACTAATGAGAGTAAAAGCTTTTGGGACTTGAATTTTCCAGTAAGTCAATAGGGTTCAGAACATTCATCTTTCAATACTTAATTTTGGAGGAGTAATATAATATGTACCTCAGAGGATTACTGCAAGGATTAGAGCAGGAAATCTATGACAAGTGCTGAGCACATTGTTTGGCATAAAGAAGGATCTCAATAAACTTAAATATTTTCATCTTTATCTAGATCCATGACAAGTTCTGGGTGCAGGGGCAGGTTTTTAACTTGTTTCATCTCTATGCTTTCACTTTAGAATGCTGTTGTTGACCATAGTATTCAAACATCTTGCAGAAGCACCACTTTCCTCAAATGTTAATTTGGTTTTGATTTCTACTTTATAGGCAGATATATATGTATGTATATGGTATGATTTACTTCCTTAGATGGTATATATATATCTCCAAATTTAGTGTCCATTTAACATAAAGACTATTTTTCCTTTTACTGGACTTGAAACTATTGGAACTTAGAAGAATGAAACTCAGTAAATTTTTTTTTCTAAATCCAGTTAATTACAGTAGTTAATTTACAGACCATGGTATTTGTTATTAACACTAAAATATAATTTAGTGTTAGGTTTGTTGATAGTACATTTAAATATACTTAGGTTTGTTGATAATACATTTATAAGTGATTTGTTATAAGCAGATTAAACCTATTAGCATCAACTAGAAGCTACTTGTGAACTATTTAGGGCAAGAGAGGTTTACCTTACATTAGTGGCTTAGAAAGGCCAGAGGGACTTGTTCCTTTATAGGCAAAGTAAATTTGACATAGAACAGAGTGCGTTCACTTTTTAAAGTATATTTTATATTATTAGGAGTAATTTATTTTCATTAATAAAATTCGATAGGCTAGAGTTACAAAATGAAATTGAAAAGATTCTTTTTCACACCCTGTTTCCACTCTGCAAAAATAGTTGCTGGTTATCTATTAGTAGTAAACTGTGTATCTTTACATAATTATGTGGGCATTCATCTTTTTTAGCTTAATTGCTAAGATATATACATAGTTATATATACACATGATTTTGATGCTACTCAATCTGAGACCCTTCCTCCCACAATCTATTTTCAGAATTCTTACATAGTTTATTTTCATTTGATGTAGTGCATTTCTAGTTGCACATCTTAAGCCTATTAAATTAAAATGGGTTTTAATGCATATCTATTTTTAAATTTTCTGAGAAATGGATCCTTTGGAAATTAAATCGCTGAATGGAGAAAACGATCTTTATAGCTAAATGCGAGATAAAGTAAAATGAATGAAAAAACAGATTTAGTATGTCAAAGTTTGAAAAGGCAAAGAATTTTGACCACTGTATTGGTTAAAGAAGAAATTTTAAAACAAAAAATTATAGGAGAATATATATATTGTTGGAAGCTGTTATAAAAAGAAAAGTTATCATAGTGTTAAATGTATGTGCTAAATGACCTAATAACAAAAGGAAAAAAGATATTATCTAACGTTACCTTAAGGCTGTATGATAACAGAAATTAACCAAGGAAAGCAAGAAGAAAACTTATAAAGAACAAAATACAAAGACAAATAATAGGAAAAAATCAAAAGTATTTACAGTAGAACCAAAAGCCGCTTATTTCAAACAAATAATAAACAAATAACCAAAGGCATGGACTAAAAATCCAAGAGATTGGGAGGCTTTTTTTTTGTTTTCTACTTTATTGGTGCTTTATGCCTAGAGTATAGATGTACCTGGCTGGCAGTAAATGCTCGGTAAATATTTATTAAATACATTAATATTTCTTACATATTTTAATAGATTAATTGAAAATGAAAGCACCATGTAATAATAGATAAAATATTAACTGTTATAAGTTAATATTGTATACATTTATGTATTAAGCAAAGTATACATCTCAATTCCAAACATAATTTTCAGAGTGAAAACGATACAGTAACTAGTAAAACAATATGCCGAGAATCGTAAAAAGAAAAAAAGTATAATTTTAAAGACTTCAATAACAAATAATTAACAAAACAAATTTGTATTTTCATTTTGTTGTCGAAGCCCACAGTTTTATATAAAGTAATCCAAAACATACGAAAAGTAGAAAAATTTCTATTTCATTTTATGAAGAAAGTCTCTTTATTCCAAAATATTAACAGTTCACATGAATAAACACAGAATCCAAAATAAGAGCAAATGAAATAACATATTGAGTAGTGTTAATATCAGGAATGCAAATCTAATTTAACATTAGGAATTTTATTAACGTAATACGTAATATAACATCAATATGTTATATAACAAAAGTCTTACCCTGATAGGTATTGAAAAGGCAATTAATAAAATTTATTCACTTCATAAAGAAAAAGTAAATATTAATTGCAGAAACAGAAGGTTTTTAAAAATACTTTAACCTTGATAACAATCCTGTAAATTTAGTATCCTTCAGTGTTTTTCTACCCCATTCTTTGTATGTTGCCTGAATGCTACCTATGTCTTTTATGGTGAGTAATGTCATAGTCAAACAGTTATTGGAAATGTATAATTTCAATTGGTATAATTTTGCTCATTTTATATATATGTATACATATACACACATATAATTTTTTGCAGAGTTTTGAAATTGTTAATTGCTTATAATTTTCAACACTGGCCAGTTAGCCCAATTCAGATAAGGAGTATAGCGTGAAACCTCACTGATTTATTTTACTTTGTAGGAAAAGTAGTTACAATTATTTTTAGTAAAGTGGCCGGATGCAGTGACTCATGCCTGTAATCCCAGCACTTTGGGTGGCCAAGGCGGGCAGATCACTTGAGGCCATGAGTTCGAGGCCAGCCTGGCCAACATGATGAAACCCCGTATCTACTAAAAATAAAAAATCAGCCAGGCATGGTGGCACACGCCTGTATTCCCAGCTAGTTAGGAGGCTAAGGCATGAGCATCGCTTGAAACTGGGAGGTGGAGGTTGTAGTGAGCCGAGATCGTGCCACTGCATTCCAGCCTGGGTGACAGAGTAAGACTCTGTCTCAAAAAAAAAAAAAAAAAGTTATTTTTGGTAAAGAAATTCATGAAATAATATTCAGTAAGCTTGTGTTTAGACACTGTAATCTTAATGATTAATAAAGTAATAAAGCAATTGTAATTTTTTTGAAACTCAAAAAATTTTATATGTGTTTTCTCTTTAATCCTCAAAACAACTCTTTCTTAAGAGTTATAGTATTATTTTCATTTTGTATATGAGGGGTCTAGCTCAGAGATAATAAATTACAAAGTCGTTAGAGAAAGAGATTCTTCCCCATTTTTAATATTTCCTTCAAGGTAAAGGGACCTTAATTAGTGCAATTAGTGACCTTCTCTCTCTCTCTCCTACTTCACTTCCCCTTCATCTCTGCTTTGGTGAAGGTGAAATAGCTTAACGTGATTGATAAATTTGGGAAGAATGTATTAGGCAAGGGGTTTTGGAACAGGCTTAACTGCAAGGAGCACCAATTGGGCTCTGTAGTCTAGAGGAACTAGAGTCTAGGTTTCAACTCTGCAGAGGGAAAGCTGGGTTCTGGCTGCATGACCGTACATCTTGTTTTGCCCAGGACACTTCCACTTGATGTCGTCCCCAATATGATTATTCATAACACCATATTTCACTCCCTTGAGTACCCCAGTTGGAATAATAAGCTATATGTTCACCTTAATAATCCTGCATAATTCTAGGGTTCGGTATTAAGAAAGCACATTGCTTGCATATAAATAAAGAGCCGTGTACTTTAATATTGTCTTTATAAGTATTATTTTGGCCTCAGTCAGCTACTCCATTGTTTTATTTCTCCATTTCTGAATCTGAGGAGGGAAGAGGAGCATTTTTGAGACCCAGCAATAATTTTTGATTAGATTAGATTTTCAGTGTTTTACTGCTTTAGTAAACTTTCTAATGTACTGTGCCATTCCATATGAGATATCAAATTAGAGGTCAATTTAAGCAATTTAATTTCCAAACAACTTACTCTTTTAAGTTATTTGGCATCATGAAGACAAATAAGTTGATGGGCTATTTTCACCTTTTAGTTGTTTTGGTTTAGGATTTGAGAACTTTGGAGGAATGTTTGAAGGTTTAATGTAGGGAAGAAAAGCAAAAAACTTTTTCTATACTCTCTTAAGTTTGTACATGGAAACCTGTGAATTAAACTGACAATCGGTAGGTTAACAAGAGAAAAATGAATTTATGCATGCAACATACATATACATGGGCGTGCTAAGTGATGAGTAACTTAAAGGGATCATTAGAATTTGGAGTTTATATTCCTAACTTAGTAGGGGAAAGGCAGTGGGGAGAAAAGGCTCCTGTGGGAAGAACAAATAGGTTTCTTTAAGAAAGACAAGTGGGTTATTTTTGGTGAACAAACAGAAGATAACATTTGTTACAATGTTTGACTGCACCAGTACAAGTGGTCTTTATATCGTCTTAGGGCCAGAAAATGCCCCCAGATAGAGGATTTATGATAAATTTACTTTTGGGCTCTCTGCTGGGATTAGAAGCCACCACAAAGAGATAATTTACGGCAGTCCTCATTTGTTAGAAGTCTTTGCTTTTACTTTTATTCAGATAAGAGAAACTCTGAAGAGGCTTGTGTATCTGTTGAATCACAGATGTCTTCAGCTTAAAATAAAATTTATACCAACCATGGAGTCCCAAGTGGGTCCCCACATGAACATTGGTATTCATTTACTGCAACACTCTCATTTTCCAGCTTAGGAAACGAGGGTCTGGAGATGTGACTTAGACAAAGTTACATATTGTATTAGTGACACAATTGGTTGTAGAATTTCCCAGTCCTCAGGTTCCTGGGTAAAGTGTTTTTAATAATATCCCCTCTCTGCCTTTTAGGGTAGGAATAGGGAACAATCAGTGAGAATTATATTTAGGTAGCTGAATTAGAAGAGTAAATCTGATGTTTTTATGAAAAGCTTTATTTGCTATTTCTTGAATATCACCTTAATATCTCAACTTGATCTGTAGAATTTTGATCACAAGTTACCTTTCCACTCTCTTATTACTAGTAATTAAATTGAAAATTCACCTCTGTTATTTTGTCACAGCCTACCGCAGATGATTATCTCTAATGAGCTCCTTAGGTGCAGAGCCTAGGTTTATTCCTTCCTGACTGCTTAGTAGTGGTATTTATAGAAGTAGCGTTAAAGTGAGTAAGCGTATGTAATTCTTATATTTACCTAAGTGAAGTTTGGAAATGAAGTTTTTTATGTGTATTTCAGCCTGTTTATCCTTGCATATGTAAACCAATTACATCTTAACATTTGTTTCTGGAGAACAGGCCAGAAACAAAATATTCACTTGTACTTAATATGTTGTAATAATGGGCATATTCAATAAAATATGCACTGGTAATACAATTGGGCATCATATCTGATTGGATGAAACAGAATATGCTAAATGTGATCATTTTTCTGTCACAGAATTTCATATTGAGAATATGCCAGTTATTTTGAAGTCAGTATATTTGCTGGGATTACTTGGTTCTGCTTGAAAGGATAGTGGGATTTTTTTTTCTGTGATTATGATTTCTATTGTTAAAATTATTATTTTTTGCTTTTGCATCTAAATATGCCCTTTCATAAGCAGCTGAAATAATCTGGTCAGACAATAACCCATTTCTGGTTAATTTGATATTAGCTTTTTTTTGAAATTTGAGGATACTTTTTAGCATTTATAGATGGCCAATATCAGATTCAAATCACCAGTCTTCTTAAGAGGATTTTAATGCATTCCCACTTTTAAATATTCTCAGTATGTTTACTGCTCTCAGTAGTGGGATGTGTTGATTCTGAATTGCTAAATCTATTAGAAGGCGTTTTTTTAAAATGTGTGAGTGTGTGTGTGTGTGTGTGTGTGTGAGAATGTGATTGTTGATTTTCTTTACCAAAAATTGGTATTTGATTAGAGATGGGAAATACCTTTGAGTACTTTTAAAAATGCAACTTAAATTTGGTTACTACTACTGAGTTGTTAATCAGAACCCTTTAACTGGTGGCACAGGTAAATCATGGCCAACAAGACCTGTGGCCATCCCCAAATAGACTAATGATTTGTGACCCCTTCAAATGCTAGACATTTGAACAATTAATATTATCTGAGAACTGTTGATAGCAACTCGGCTTGTCATCTGCTATCATGAGTAATGTAGCTTTGCCTTTACATTTGCAACTCTGTTGTCCAAACCAAAATTTCACAGTTAAAATCTCTGTGATCCTTAGAATATAATTTAGTATTATTCTAATCAATCACCTCTGGTTATAGGAGCCTGAAGGGTTTTAATCTTCAACTTCAAGCTACTTAGCTAAGTATTCTTTCCAGCTTCTTATCAGTTCTGTAGTCTCTCTGAGTTCTGTATCTTTCTATTCGGTTACATTTTAGGTGATGTTTTAGATCCCATAGAGATCAGCGCTTTGAGTAGGTACTTGGCTTCATTATTCTTTTATTTAATTTGGGATCCCATATAATAAAATGTGACTAAACTTAGGGTTTGAACTAGATGTTAAAAGTGAGAACAGTGATCTTAGAGGTTTCTTCCTTCCCCATCCCCCAAGGGGGCCTTAAATTTTTAGAGTTAGCTTGATAGTGTTTTGTGAATCATACGTATTTAGCTAGTTAACTACCAGTTGTGTTCATTTCCATTCTGTTTCAAAGTAGTGCTTTGAGGATTGTCAAAAGACAAATTTTCAACAAATTTAGTTTAAAGATCTAATTGGCTTTTAATAGCAATTCACGAATTGAGTAGCATCTCACTGAAAAATTTAGAAAAGTTGCTCTGAAGGGCATGGTAGAATGGTCAGTTTTTATAAGATAGCTTGAGCAAGAACAGGAAAACAGCATAATATGAAAAGCAAATTGGTTAATATCAGGTTACTTCAGGTTACTGGGTTAAAGCAGAGGGGACTTACCATGTTGGCCAGAACTGGCCTATTTGAGAATTTGGCTATCATCTCTCTCCTGATTTCTGAACATTAGTATGAGGGACTCCATTTTGGTTTGGTCTATTCCGTTGGGTCCTAGTACAGGATCTCAGTCCAAATCAATGGCTTCCTATAAATTTTATTTAACAGGAATAAAGGATGCAAGACATAGGGAAATTTCAAGATGACAAACGTGAAGCTATATAAATAATCACATAAATTATTCATTAACAGTTTATGTTTATCTTGAATTTACTTTGTTATCACTCCATTTTTTACTTGAGCATAGATGTTAGCATATTGTTAAATTGTTATCTATTTCATTCATTTTTAATTTAGATTTTCACTGTTTTTTCTTAATATTTAGTAGTATTTAGGTTTCTTTCTCAAAAAAATTTGTCACTATATCCTTTTGTCTAAAATGTTGTCTAACTTTAGATAAAAGCATATAGTGACAAAATTTTCTTGAAACCACCTTTGCAAAAATTATAGCTGAGAAAATTATTACAGTGAAAAAGATTGGACCTAACCAACTCTTATCTTGCTTCTAACTTCCAAGCTGTCCTTGTTCATCCCTGGGCATAGGCCGAACTAACTTCGGGAGGAACTTAGTTTATAGTTTAGCTGTGAAACAAAGATGAAAACAGCCCTTTCCCAAACAAAACCCTTCCCTGCCTGGGGACTAGAGTGCCTTTGCAGGACTAACAAACGAACTAGCCACAATATTAGAAATTATGGTTTGGGAGTCATACAGTTGGAGGCTGCAAGATTCTAAACCTTCCCAAATTGCTCCTGGTGATAACATCACTATTGTAAAACCTAAGATCATAGTTTGAGATATTTTGCAGACCCTGCACTGATGGATCATCTGGCATCACTTAGATTGACAAACTGGCTCATCTGGTCTTGTGGCCACCACCCAGGAATTGATTCAGTACAAGAGGACAGCTTCAACTCCCTGTGATTTCATCTCTGACCTGACCAATCAGCACTTCCCACTTTCTGACACCCTACCTACCAAATTATCCTTAAAAACCCTGATCCCCAAGTTTTGGGGAAGACTGATTTGAGTAATAATAAAACTCTGGTCTTTATTATTAAGTAGTAATACAACTCAAATAAGACTGATTTGAATAACAATAAAAATAGCTGGCTCTGTATGAATTAAACTCTCTATTGCAATTTCCCTCTCTTGGTAAATCTTCTCTGTCTAGGCAGCAGGTAAAGAAAACCCATTGGGCAGTTATAATATTTATGTACATCTTTTGTTTCTATTCTGCTTGAAAAATAATTCCCATAGATTTGCTTTAAAAATTTAAGTCTTCTCCTTGTGCCACTTAACAGTATTAATTTTATTGAAGACTGTTGTGAAAAAAGTTAATGGACCCTCAAGAGCATGATATATCTAATGGTTAACAGCATAAATAACTGTGATATAGTAGGTTATACTCTTAGGTCTATATTATAATTGAGGTCAGCAATCTAACTTTAATATAGTTATATTAATATAATTCTGTAAGTATAGCTTTAAGGTTTAATTATTTAACTAAGACTATTACGAAGGAAATAAAAATAGTTAAGCATACGAACAATTCTCTCTCCAGTAATCAAAGATTTTAGGAATGAAAATTCAACTCTCTCCACCATCTTTGCTATTTAAAATTAGAGAATAGAGATTTAGTAGAATCATTTCAAGTGGTATTCACAAAAAGGTATTTGCCTTTACCTTAACACTCACTTTTGGAGATAAAGATTTTATTTTTCCTTTGCTTATGTACAATAAAAGTACAGTTGAGTTATATATTTATAACTCAAGCTTCAGGCAGTACCAAGTCCTGGAATTTTTTAAGAATTCAATCATGAGCATTCTATAAAAGTTGATTATACGAGATTATCCAAAAGGTTCCTGTAAATCTTACTTTATCACCTACATTTTAAAAACTCATATTGGGTAGAGACCAGCAAAGAAAGTTTTTCTGCAAGTAGGATTTTTCTCTTATTTTTTTAATAAACATTTTCTTTGGCTATTGATACTGTTTCTAATTGATTTTATAAATGAATAGAAAAGATAAGAGAATTCTGGAAAATATAAACTACTCACAAATTAAAATTTATTGCTCTTTGAGACATCTGCCTTTCCCTCTTAATTTGTGATGATAATTGCTGTTCTGAGAGGGACAGAAAAAACATATCCCAGTGGCTTATTTAGCAAAACACTAGAATGTTTATTTGAACCTGATCGCTTTTAAAACTTGGAAAAGGTAAAATAGGTCAGAAAGATGTAATCTTTTATGGGAATTCCTTCAAACATTTAATTCCCAATATTAAATGAAAATAATTGGAACACAAAGAGCTTGGAACACTATTCACTTGTTCAATTTTGTGTTCATAACTGTATCATTGGGTTGTTTTTGTTTTGGTGTGCAAAATATTCCTAAATGGCACCAAACATGAATTTGTAGGGATTCAGTTTTAGAAACACATAAAGCTAAACATTCTGCTCATTACCATGTGTCCTCCTTTATATCACTAAGTTCACTTTGCTGGATGTTACTACTTTTATGCAGTAATTTTATTAAGTATATCAAAGGAAATATTTCAAGTTAGAGATGAGTTCTACAGGCTTGTGTGTATGTCTTTTTTTTTTTTTTTTTTTTTGGATGGAGTCTTGCTCTGTCACCCAGGCTGGAGTACAGTGGCATAATCTCAGCTCACTACAACCTCCACCTCCCAGGTTCAAGCGATTCTCCTGCCTCAGCCTCCAGAGTAACTGGGACTACAGGTGTGCACCACCACATGTGGCTAATTTTTGTATTTTTTGTAGAGACAGGGGTTTTGCCATGTTGGTGAGGCTGGTCTCAAACTCCTGACCTGAAGTGACCCACTCGCCTTGGCCTCCCAAAGTGCTGGGATTTCAGGTGTGAGCCACCATGCCCAGCCCAAGCTTGTGATTTGTTCAAGATTCATCAACTGACAAGAAAATGTCAATCAAGTAACAGACTACTTTCTTTTAGTGTATAATAGAATGATACTTGGCTCTTGACATTTGTCTTTTTTTTGTACAATACTGTCATGACAGCCAACACACTTGTCTTTTGATTAGTAAAAGCTGGGGGCTTGATAGAAATCGTAGACTAAATTTAACTAGTACAGCAAATTGAGTTGCGATCCATATCTGTGAATCTTAGAAAATTTGTTCTTAATATTTTTGTACTACTGTGAGCAAATGACTGAAGTGGAGCAATTGTAGAGAAGGTTGATGCAAATACATACTTAGAAGCCTAGTACCTGAAATAAACTAGGAGCAAATTCTTCAGTGACTTCAGTCTCCGGTGATGTGGCACAAGTATGGCTTTTTCTCTGTTTCTGGCATTAGGCTTTTCAGAGAAACTAATGGGAGTAATGGTTCTCTAGGTGTGTAATAATTTTTTATGACTCTTGAAATTACTCCAAAACAAGGTCTCCCTATCAGTGATTTGTGGAATAGTAGTGCCCTGGAAATGCCAGTAAGTTGTTCTGAGAAAAGAGAAATTACTTGATCAAGCGAATTTGAGAAACTTTTTGTTACACAATCAGCTGTATACTGTTTCACTGTAGGATATCTCAGAGTCAAAACTAATGACATATATTGTGAATTGCTAAGAAGGAGGTATACAGTTCACAGCATTTCCCAAACCGACTTGATCCTGGAAACCACCTATAACATCTAGTAAGATGAGAATGCTCCATAGAAATTAATTGAGGAATGTTATCTAAAAACCTAACTATATATTAATGTATACTTTCTAGTTACTGTTGAATCTAATTTATATTCAAAGTTTAAAAAATGTTGGTAGAAATAACTTGATAAAATTGAATGGTCTTTTATGATATAAACTCATAGCATATGAGAATAAAAGGAACACCACTTAATAGTAACTACCAAAAACTCTAAAAAATAATATTTAAAAATGAAACCTAGAAACATTTCCTTTAAATTAAGGAAGAAGAGAAGAATGCTCACTGTTAAAAGGTTTCATACTGGAAAAGAAGAAACAAATTCTCAATATTTGCAGAGGTCCAGGAGAATGTACAGAGCAATCTTCAATATCAACAAAAGTTGCTAGATCAAGATCAATATAAAAAATTAAGTGTTCCTATACACCTAACCATACAGTTACGAAGGGTAATTTTAAAAAGAGACCATGTAGAAATTACATAAAAGAATGTAAAGTAATTGAGAAGAAATCTAATAAAGGTTGTAGAAGATCTTTTATGAAGAAAATTTTAAAGTATCATTGAAAGCTATATCTGTATGGATGGGTAAGAGTCAGTATGTTTAAAATGACAAGTCTCCCCAAATTAATCTATAAATTCAATAAAATTTTAGTTGCAAAATACCATAAGGGTTTTCATATAACTTGATAATGTAGGGAAGGTAAAATTTTTCTCTAACCCCCTGTGGTCTCCAGCTGGTACTGATATAAGACAGATCAACAGGAGAAAAACATACACATTTTATTTACATGTGCCTGTAAACAAAATGCTCTCACAAGAAAAATGGAGACCCAAAGAAATGACTAGCTCTAAATGCTTACATACTATGTGGAACAAAGAGTGGCAATTGTAGAAAAGTGACTAGGAAGAGAGGGGTTAGTTTAAGAAGGTCTGTTTGTACAGATTTCTTTCAGCCTTAACTCCCCTCCTCTTGTGATGAGACTATTTCTCTTCTCCTGGTATAGGGAAGGTATGGGAGTTTCAACTCCTGCTTTATGAAGAAAAGGGAAAATCAGAGTGCATCTCTTGCACCTGCTGTTTTTCAGGTGCCTTTAGCTCAAAATGATCAACATGTCAAATGGTGTATTTTGGGATGGCATCCTGAACTTGTTCAGTAGATAAGTTGATTTATGTGGAATAATAAGGGCCAAAAATAGCAAAGATAATTTTTAAAAAGAAGAAGAATGGAGTGAGAAGCAGCGGAATTGGAGTGTAATTGTTATACCAGATACCCAAACTTACTTGTGGTAAATAAAAGAATGTGGTATTGGTACAGGGAAAAGGAAACATACTGATATGGCAGAATAGAAGAGAGCACTGAAAATGGATCCACATATGTGGGAACTTGATGTTTCTTAAAGGTGGTATCATAAACTAATAGAAATAGGGACCACTGAATACATGATAAATTAGTTTATCCACAGGGAAAAAGATAAAACAGACACTATTTGAAACTTTACCCCAAAAGACTAAATATGAAAAGTAAAATGGTAAAGCTTTTAGAAACAAGTTACAACAAGTTATAGAAGAGTATCTGTATGATATAGTGGTAATGAAGGATATATTTGTTTTAAAAACTCACAAAAAACAGATGCCATCAGTAAAAAATTAATAGAACTTACCACATTAAGATACAAAAAAAACCAAATAAATGCACCCCCCCAAAAAAAAAGTTTGTATTACCATGAAGAAAGAATATGCTACATGTAAATATGTAAGCCACAGCCTGAGAGAAAAAAAATATCACATGTGAAGGATAGGTACCCAGGCTATTAAAAAACAAAAATTCTGCATATTGATAAGAAAAAGACAGAAGTCCTTATAGAAAAAATGAGGAAAGGATAAGAACTATCACATAAGAATTGATTGAAGTTGTCAGTAATTATATGAAAAGATGTTCAATGATATGAGTAATGTTAAAAAATGCAGGTTGACAAAAAGAGAGTCCAGGTCACATCCATTAGATTGGCAGCTACTGGCTGCCAATATTATTATTAAAGAGTCATATTAATAATACTATATATAATATTGTTATACTATATATAATATTGTTATCATATTATATATAATAATGTTGTTATATTACATATAATAATGCAAACTATCACAAGTTTACATTTAATTATATATAATATAATAATATTAATATTAATGTCATGTAACACTTATTGTTGGGGAAAGCATGGAGAAACAAACTTGTACCCATTTCTGCAGGAGTATAGATTTGCAAAGTCACTTTGAAAACCATTTGATAATACCTAGAAAAATTGACAATTTTCATTCATATACTCAAGGATTTTCCTACTAGTTTACAATGTAAGGAAACTCTCACAATTGTGTATAAGTAGGCCTGTACAGAGTTGGTCATTCAGGACTGTTTGTAAATGAGGGAAAAAGTGAACACAATTTAACCATCTCCTCAGTAGGGTAATGCCTAAAATAAACTGTGATATACAGTTATTTAGTAAAACATTATTCAATGGTTAAAATGAGGAAATTTATTTATTTATATCAACATGGTTAATCTGGAAATTAGAGTGAGTAATTAAAGTTTCAGAGGCACACTTACAGTATAATACCATTTCTATGAAATTTTAAATGCAGAAAACAGTATTGCATATTTGTGGATATACATGTATAGTGAAAGACTAAAAACATGCATGGGACTTATACCTATGCATTAAAAAAATATTTTATCCCTAGGTAGAAAGGAAGGAAAAAGATGGAGGCTTGAGGGTTTATGTATATATATGACTTTTTTTCCCTTTTTTTTCTTTTTGGAAACAAAAATAGGGAAATCTTAATATTGGTTTAAACATGGCGGTGGATAAATGTTTTTGTTATATATTTTTTACGTGATAAAACTTTCACTAGAATTTAAATTAAAAAAAATTCAAAGTATTCACAGATTTCCATTTTTACAATTTCAGAAATAGGCATAGGAAGAGGAGCCGTTTTCAGTTGATCACTGTAGCTAGTGCCTTGAAGATGAATGTGCCTTGAAACTTTCAAATTATGTAATTTGAGGTGAATGAAGTAATGGTATATAGCTTTTGCTGATTTGTTAATATTTAATTGGGCCAGGAACAGTTCAAGTCTTTAAATAGAAGTATATTTGTACAATATCCAGCTTAGCATCCAGCTTGGGAAACACTATTTCCCATCAGCTTTAAAGCATAAGTCTATAAATAATATATGAATTTGAACCTTATTCTAAAGATAGTGAGAGATTTAAAATAACAGTAAACAACCATAGTCTTCCTGGGTCATTCTTGGACACATTTTTGAGTAGGTCAAAGTTAATTCTTGGCTATTCTGGGCTTTTCTCAAGTTTGCTTCTATCTCTTAGAGATTGATGGCTGCATCAATAGGTGATACATTCACATACTTGAAAGTATAAGTGACTCAGGATGCATAATGAGTTTTATCTCTAAATGATACTTAGATTTTAAGAAAGTTCAATGACTTACACTAAAAGAATGAATTTCTAAAAGTGGAAGTTTAAGGCTTGTTCATTGGAGTGGTGGGTGGGGGTAGGTGTTTAGACAAGGGCCTTCACCAGACCTCCCAGTTCCATCCCCTAGTGAGTGGCTGCTCTACTTAAGAGATCAGTGTTTGTTCTTTTTACCTAGGAAAATAAAGTGAGAGAACAAGTATATTTAATGAAAATGGTAACGTTATTTTAAAAAATTATAAATTAGAGACCAATTAGAAATCACACAACCTCATCACTCTGAAAAATATTTTGTATTCAGATGTTCTTTCTAAGCATAGAATGAAGTCTAAGCTGAGATGTCACCGTGGAGAGTTAGTGAAGGCCCTGTGATAGGTTTTCAATAAGTTAAATGTAGGGTCCATTTCACTGTGATAGCCGTTATAAGTAAATTCCTAGATCATTTATTTTCATAGGTCAACATAAAGGCTAGTTCCATGTTGATATTACTCTTTGCAGAATAACCATTTCATTGTAAACCAATATTATTGTGTCATTTCAATTTACTTTTGCAGTTGCTTTGAGGCCAAACTTTATCAACTCATTTAAATATCTCTTTTAGCTCAAATAGGCACAATCTCCTTAGTAAAAATATGTTCACATCTATACAAATAGATATTTTAGCTTTTAGTTTAGGTTTTGAATTTATTTCTCAGTATTATTTTCTTTTTTAAGCTTATTACAGTTTCCATTGAGACAGTTGGGGTAAAGGGAGATTTAGTGGCATTATCTATGTGCATGTTAGTATTTTAAGAATGAATTGTGAAGGATAAGTTGGGAACTTCTAAACTGTGCATACATATAGGCTAATATATTTTCAACTTTAAGTATGTATGATAAGATAGATAATATAATGAAACATAATAGATGATGTATATAGTATATTTATAGATTTACTAATATATAATTATATTTTTATATTTAATAAAATATAATAAATTTATATTTTTTGTAAATTCATTGAAATCTAAAATTCAGTGAATTTTATTCAACCTAAAGGCTCTTTAACGTATGTCAGGTATTAGAATTTAAAACAAGATAGCACAACTTTGTAGCAATTCCACGAGATTCAGATTTCAAAGAGTTTGAGCTAGAAAGTATTTATTATGTAGAACACATTCCAGAATTAGTCCAAAGAAGACATGCATTAGAGAAACATTCGATCTCTTACTATTGAAGTTGTGTACTTGATAGATACTTGAGAGCTTATTAAAGCAGTTTCCCATTTTTCAGTATGAAGCTGGTATACCTAAATCAGCAATCTTTGATTCTATATTTTCTCTGAAAATAGGACAAACTCACCTTCCTATTCTGGTATTGCCTTGCCTAGCTGCTGAAGTTGTAGTGGCAGCAACAGCTGAGACAGCAGCAATATATCAATAGAAATAGTCTGTAGGATGGAACTGCAGCCACACACAAGATCTAAGACTTGTCTAAAATTTAATACAGACATTGCTTTGCTATATCAATCTAAATAATTATCCCTTAATTATCATCCCTTTATTTTCAATGTTTCTTGAATAAAAGGAAAGGAATAATCGATTGATAGCTGTGATTGTTGTGTGTTGTGAACAGTAGTTCCAGGTGTGTGCCAAAGAGCAAGGTAGTTTATTGTCTTTGTCAGAGGTTAGAAATACATGGTCTCAGATAGTCCTAGGAGCTCAGAAGGTCTCTGTATTAATAATTTTAGTTCCTTGGCTTTTGTTCTTCCAGTCATAATAAACAGTTTGCATATCTTAAATTTGCTCCAGAAACCTGATATGAATATCCTCTAAATTACACAATTGTCCTTTTTCACTGGGCTGGTTAGTGATGAGTTTCCAGCTCAGGTCCTATACTCTAGGAAATAAATATAACTTAACCTGCTATCATCTACATATATGTCATTGAGAGCTTTTGACAGGAATTTATTCACAAATATGTAAGTCTTGTCAAAATACCCTAGTTTTTAAATATCCTGAAATGTAAGAATCTCGGAAAATCTGTAGTTCTGAGATTCTGGTGAACCCAGAGCGATTGGAGCCTTAAATAGTTTTCTTCCAAATATCCTAATTTCTTTCTCTGTTTTGTTTCTCATAACAGAATCAAACCATGGAAATAAATGAAGTTAAAGATAAAAGTGCAGGTTTGCCAGTCCCACCACCCCCGTGCCTGGCATTAAATTAAAAATAAATGCCATTCTAAAACCTGGAGCTGCTTTTGCTCATAAAAGGGAGTTCTACCTAGTTAACTCCTGTTTATTTTCTGGGGCATTAATATTCAGTGTGAAGTCTCTCATATATATATATATATATATATATATATATATATATCGTTCACGGCTTTTAGCTTTTCACTCTACTCCACATATGAAAGCCTCCTTGAAAGCAGAGCAGATTGGAATATTGTTTATTCATATAGTTACCTTATGGCATTTGGCATTTCTGACTCTTTGGAACCAGGGACATAGGAATTTGGAAGATTGTAAGATAGTGATTCTCTAGTACAGCCTGCTTACATTCAGCCAATCAGCCCCCAAAATATTTAAATCATTCCACCCTGTACCTTTCACCTTCTAAGTACGTATACCCATATGTTAAAAACAATCTTCCCTTTTCTACTAATTTTTTCTGTTTGTCTTGTGTTGTAATTGAATTGCAAGATGTGGGACAAGTATTTTAAACACTTTTTTTTTCATTTCTGGTCCTGATATAATTCAGTGAATATTAATATATTTAAGTTAAAACAGATAATATTCTTAAGTCATAAAAAATGATAATCTTAATTTATCTGGAATTGAGAAAAACATTTATTTTGGATTACAAGTAAAATTTCTCTGCAGGAAAAGCTAGATTATAATGTGGATACTCAAGAGATGATTTTGAGAGAATGTAATTTATTTCACAGATGATGGAGTGATTTATTCTTAAAAACTAAATGGAAAAAGGATTTTCTGTCTTTATAGCCAAATCAGCTTACTGTATCAATATTTTTCTGTCCTTAAAATTTCACATAGTTTAGTTCCATTAAAAAAACAAACAAACAAACTTCTGTTTTGGGCCAGGCGCGGTGGTTCACACCTGTAATCCCAGCACTTTGGGAGGCCAAGGTGGGTAGATCACTTGAGGCCAGGAGTTCAAGACCAGCCTGGCCAACATGGTGAAACTTTATCTCTACTAAAAATACAAAAACTAGCCAGACATGGTGCATGCCTGTAGTCTCAGCTACTTAGGAGGCTGAGGTGGGAGAATTGCTTGAACCCGGGAGGCGGAGGTTGCAGTGAGCCGAGATTACGCCACTGCACTCCAGCTTGGGGCACAGAGCAAGACTGTCTCAAAAAACAACAAAAAGAACAACAACAACAAAACCTTTTATTTTGAAGGGAAGAAAACGTGTTCAGTTTGATAGCACATTTATGAGTAGAGTGTAGACTGTCAGGAATATTTAGCTTTTTAAAAAAGATTATTCCTACAGCTGAGGAAAAAAAAACTTTCTCCCACTCTTGATGTGAAAATTACTAGGTGATTTGCATGTGAGAATAATTTTACTGTAGCATCTGAGAAGTGGTCTGAATGAAGAGGTGAGCCCAGTTAGTTACCAGGCAACAGGTGGCTAAAGGACATGAACTCTGGCAAACATCACCAGTTCCTCGTTCATTTTATTGTCAGTTGGAGACTCTCCAGCCATGCAGCCCAGTTCTTGAGAATTGTTTATAGAATTGTTTGCTTCTGAAGGAATTTGTAACCACATTTTGTTTGATGAATACTAAACACCTTAGAAGCCTTCTGATTATACTGGCATTGACTTTGTCATGAACCACTTAAAAAGTGAGCCATGATGACTAGTAACACAAATGTGGGACCCTTTTGGATGACCACAATTTGCCTATAATATAGAAATATGGTGCTATTCAAAAAAAAGCTCAGACCTGTGAACACCAGGGAAGGGGGAGAGAATGGGATAGGAAATTACAGACTGGAGAAGGGACTTTTTTTTTATGGTTGGTATACTTATACTTTCCCACTTTTCAGTTGTGTGAATAATATGAGCAAAAATTCAGGGAAGTTTCATGGTGTTGTATCTTCATTCCTTTTGGAAAATTCAAAATCTTATGTATTGTATTCACCAGAGAATGGAAGGGAACTAACAACTGAGCCTCTAATATTCCAGAGAATTGGTATCAGATGCTTTATGCAGATTATCTCATTTTTATTATCACAGCACTTAGACAGGTAGATACTGTTACAGTCTCCTTCTACAGACAATGCCACTAGAGAGCTGAAGCATTCTGAGGTTAAAAATCTTACCTATTGCCTCACATTATGGTTTGATTTACAGCAATTTTCGTTCTATTGCCCCCTATCATTTGGAGTAATTGACTGTGTTCAATAATATTTAATAGTTCCTTTATGCATTTTAGTATATTTGTCTTGATAAAGTATATGCAGAAATTGGAGTTAAAAAGGATCTTGTAAATCAGATTATAGTTCTCACTCCTGTACTTGAGCCAGCCTAGGTACATTAAATATCTGTCTAGTTTAAATAATTCTAGAAAAGATTCCACAATTTTCCTTAGTAACCCAAATATGTCATTGCCTTGATTTAAGCCATTTTCTTCTGGTTTGTCCTAAATAGAGATGGAGAACAGCTGGTTACCATTCCCAATATAATAACCCATATATTTCTAGAACATTATAAAGCATTCCCTCAGGTTTTTCTTCACAGCCTGACTCCTTGTATCCTTTTGATCTTTCTTCTTTTTCCAACCCTTTCATCATCTGTGTGGGCTTCCTTCCTTTTTATTTCTCTGCATTCCCTTTCAGATGTGGAGATCATAACTGGGCATGGATAGCCAGCATGAGTCAAGCAGTGATGAGTAAAATAAGAAACTTACCTCAGAGTTTCTAAACTAATTTTCTATTTATGAACCCCAGTAATGTGCTTGCTTAAAACACAACGAGAATGGTGGCTCGCTATCATATTTCACTTGTAGGTCTGCTATGGTACAAGGTGTGTTTTTTCTGCTACATTTCAATTCTCGCACGTGGCCAGCCTTTACCTTGTATGCTGTGTCTTATATTCCAGAACATATTATTTTGCAAAATGACAGGAAAGACTTGCATAAGTATGAAGGATATTTTGATGTGAAAAAAAAAACTTTTTAAAAGATTTTAATGTATTCAAAGTGATTGTGTTGTTAAAAATGCTTTCTTTCTTTACACTGGGAAATAACTTATGCCTGAATGGTTGATAATGCAACTGTCTGAATCATTTCATTAATTACGTAGAGTTTTCTAATATACTAACCCCATTTTAAAAGCACTTCTAATCCACCAAAGTTATTTCTTTGTATCTATTTTATTTGCTGATGGGAATTTAATAAGCTTGCCATTTATTACATTACTTATTTTACTAAGGAAATGTTAAATAGCACTAAATAGTAGGCAAAGTTGTAGCCATACCATCCTTTAAAACTCACTCTAAAATGTACATATTTTGTTAAAATAGTGAGCCACATTTCCTTTTCACTTCAGAGCCTATATAGTTTATAAAATCTCATTGTTTCTTAGGAGTTACTAGCATAGTACCCCTTTCAGTTTTAACTTTTCTCATTTTGTTACTCCACGTTATGTCAGTAATTTAACTTTTTAGTTATAGACAAGGGGTCAAATTATCATTTTTATTTAGGGAATGTCCTATTTTCACATGACTTCAACAGAATAGTTTCTGTTAGTGCACCTACCATTTTCATTTTGTCTCTTACAGTGTTACACATTTATAGATTTATAATTTGAGTTTTTCACACATGCTTTTTTAGTTTAATTAAAAGTTCATGTTCATTCAGTAAGTGCTGTACAGTACTTGAGAGGATGTTCATCACTGGTTTAATAATACTAGTTCAGTCCTTGATAGATGTTAGCTTTTCTCCATAAGTCCTACAATTAGCCATTTTGTATAGAAAAGAATCTGTGGCTCAGTGCAGCTATTGGAAAAGCACTTCAAAATTTCTTAACTACTTTACCAGCCAATTAGCATCTCCTTTACTCATGAGGAGCAATTTTCTCTCTTTAGCCTTGATCTTAACATGAGACACACCGCCCGTGTCTCTGTCTCCTGCCCCCACCACATGCAGAAAGTTATATGGTGTTACAGGTTTTTGGAGCTCTTCCCCACAACTATGCCAGGGTTCCTTGCTTTGAGAAGGCTTCACTGAGACTGATAGAATGGTTTTCTTCTTTGCATTCTTGATGCATACATTACGTCCTTTTAAAATGTTGAGGAGGCTTATTAGCAAGAGAAATATATTTCTTCCCATTAAATTTCATTCACTATCAATTTTTAAGAAAATACAGTCTCCAGTCTAAGGAGATCTATGGAGAAAGCAAAAGCTACCTTTGAATAGTCTCTTAGAAGAGCACATTTGTTAAAACTTTTTATTTTGTAACAATTGTACATTTATGAGAAAGCTGAAAAGATAGTACAGAATGTTCTCATATACCTAGCGCTTAGTTCAGAACTAAAAACTTTTCAAGACCAGCTAGCTTACATTGTCTCCTTCTTGAAGGCCAGATACTGGCTACCTTTTAAAAGCAAATGCAAAGGCCTTTGGGTGGTTCCTTGTGTGTAGGTAGTTGTAGTGTGGAGTATATAGCTGCTGAATGCAGAAATCAGAGAACCTGAGGCATCTAAACAAGCTTTTGAAGTAGGGAGTGCTAGGCTCCATTTACCACTTTTCTTTTTTTTTTTTTTTTTGAGATGGAGTCTCACTTTGTCCCCCAGGCTGAAGTGCAGTGGGGTGATCTCAGCTCACCGCAAGCTCCGCCTCCTGGGTTCACTACATTCTCCTGCCTCAGCCTCCAGAGTAGCTAGGACTACAGGCGCCTGCCTCCACGCCCGGCTAATTTTTTTTTTTTTTTTGTATTTGTAGTAGAGATAGGGTTTCACCATGTTAGCCAGGATGGTCTCGATCCTGGCCTCCCAAAGTGCTGGGATTACAGGCGTGAGCCACCGTGCCTGGCCGGAATCTACCACTTTTTAAGGAGGAAGAGGTATTTCTGGAAACCACCCTGATATCTGATTAAATATAACTTGGTAACAGCAACTGAGCGCCAAAGAAATCTGCTCTTCATTTTTTTTTTTTAACCTGCCATAGTTTGTTTAACCCTGGTTCTAACTTTTGACAATTCTTACTTTATTCAGGCAGCTTGTTCTTGTGTAGTATAACTTCCAGAACTGTAAAAGCCTCGTTAATAATACCTTCTTGGTCATTTAATTTCAGTGCTTTATTTTTCACTGATAAATTTGATCTAGTTTTTAGTGAAAAGGTTCTTAACCTAGAGTAAATAAACTTTTGTGGATTCACGGTGGGCTTTATAGTGTGTATGAGAATTTGAATTTTCCTGAGGATCTGTAGGTTCTATGACTGTTTTCAAGAGTGAATGCAATCACTCTCTCCCTTCTCACTTCCTTCTCAAATAGTAACCTTTCTCCTCAGAAAATGTCAAGTAAATTAGGATGATGTTCCACAGTACTAATGGGATTTAAATGTGCATTTATTCTCTGTTGGTATACATTACAATATACGTGTTTCTAGTAAGAATAAAATGTGATTATGGACTTGCTTTAAATAAAATGAATTTGGGATAATAAAACTTAAATTGCTAGTGAGGAAAATTAATTTTCTCTTGTTCTTATATAAAACAATAAAGTCAATTTTTTTAGTAAAATATGCCAGAATATCCCAGTACAATCAAATAGCTTATAATAATGACATTTCAGTAGGCACAAGGAAAAAAAATTGCAGATTATCTTATTTTCATTCTAGAATTGTTAAGGACATAAAATCTGAGAAGCTTGTTAGATTATTGAGAGGGGAACTGATAGAAATGATAATCTTATATATTTATAGAAAATACTTAAATTTCACTTGGTATTCCTCTGACTTCCAGATAAACACTATGGGAAAGAAGGCCCTGTGATTCTTTTTAAGAATAATACTGTGCTTCTAAGGCTACTTTATATCAATTATGTTTTCTGATGAATCACAAAATGTGATTGTACAAAAACAAGCAAAAAGGTTTTCAGGTATTTGAGATTTAAGAAGCCATCATTTTGCCACATGAAGTACCTGGTTCTTAAAAAAAAAAAAAAAAAAAGGTCATAAGAAATAGAAAGCTGCAACCATGGCAGAAATTCAAAATATACTTTGAGAAAATACACCCTCCATTTTGTGCTTTCTATAAAATAGATCATCCATTCATCATGAAAGATTGTGCACTTCTTATCCAGTTGTAGTGTTATTCCTGTTGCATCCCAAATTTATTTCCTTCATTCAGAGGGTATTTGTAAAAAGAAATACATCTTTAAAAGTCCAAACATTTTAACTTAAAAAATTTTGATTTTAAAGAATCAACAGTGCATTGAAGAAGTTCTTATAGGTTTGGTGACCAGTTAAAACCTAATCCCTGGCCAGGCGTGGTGGCTCACGTCAGACTTTGGGAGGCCAAGGCTGGAGGATTGCTTGAGCCCAGGAGTTCAAGACCAGCCTGGGCAACATAGCAATACCGCATCTCTACAAATAAAAAAGTCAGTTGGGCATAGTGGCTCACGCGTGTGATCCCATCTACTCGGGAGGCTGAGGTGGAAAAATTGTTTGAGTTTGGGCCAGTCAAAGCTTCAGTGAATTGTGATTGTACCACTGTACTCCATCCAGCCTGGACATCAGAGCAAGACCCTGTCTTAAGACAAAAGCCACAAAAAACACAAAACAGACCTAACCTATTTTTAAAATTTTACTGTAGCATTTTCTCTACACCACTAATATACCACATTGTTATTATATCATCTATCTGTATCACTCACTGAACCCTCGACTACTTGAGGGTGAAAATTCAATCCTATTAAATCTGTATTCTCATATTTAGCACAAATCAATCTGTATTCTCAACAGCTAGAACTCAGTGAGTACTGTTTAAATGAACAAATTCACATTTATCAAAACATGCTCCCCTATTTTCTTTAGCTGTGCCGTCCAGTATAGCAGCTACTGGCTGTATGTAGCTAGTGAGCACTTAAAATGAAATGTGTCTAGTCTGAATTAAGATTTGATGTAAATATGAAATACACACTAGATTTCCAAGATTTTGAATGTAAAATCACTTATGTATATATATATATTTTAAGATAAGAGTCTCGTTCTGTCACCCAGGATGGTATTCAGTTGCACAATCACAGCTCACTGTAGCCTCTGCCTCCTGGGTTCTCATGACTCAGCTTCCTGAGTAGCTGGGATTACAGGTGCATACCACCATGCCTAGCTAATTTTGTATGTTTAGTAGAGATGAGATTTCGCCATGTTGGCCAAGCTGATCTTGAACTCCTGATCTCAAGTAATCCACCTGCCTCAGCCTTCCAAAGTGCTGGGATTACAGATGTGAGCCACTGTGCCCAACCAATATTTTCATATTAATTCCGTGTTGAAATAAGAATATTTTTTATTAAATACAATATACCATTAAAATTATATATTTTTTTGCTTTTTGAAATGTGGCTACCAGATGATTTAAAGTTATATATGTGGTTTGCATTTGTGGCTTGCATTAAATTTCCATTCAATAGTGCTATTCTTAAGCAAAAGTTGGCAAATGATGGTCCCTTTGGCCATATCTGTCTTGTTTTTATATGGCCAGTAAGCTAAGAATGACTTTTACATTTTTAAAGGATTGTAAATAAAAAATGCATGTGCACCAGAGACCGTATGTGACATGCGAAGCCTAGAATATTTGCTGTCTGGTCCTTAATATAAAAAAGTTTGCTTACCCTTGTTCTAAAGAAGTTATGAGGGTAGAACTCATGGACCTTAGCCTCTAGCATCTTACACTCTAGTGAAAGTAACCTCTTAGTAATGTTACATAATGGAAGTGAAATTTTATTAAGTGACAGTATTATGAATGTATTCAGGCATTGTATGATATAGAAGTACACTAGAGGGGATCTTGAAGGATGGAACAATTTGAGCAGAAAAGAGTGATAAAATAGTGATGCACTCCCCAGATCCCCCTTCAAAGAACTACTAATTGAGCTAGGCATGGTGGCTCACATCTATAGTGTCACCACTTTGGGAGACCGAGGAAGGCAGATCACATGAACCCAGGAGTTCCAGTCTAGCCTGGGCAACATGGTGAAACCCCATCTCTACAAAAATTTGCTGGGCATCATGGCGCATGCCTGTGGTCCCAGCTACTCTAGAGGCTGAGGTAAAAGGATCACCTGAGCCTAGGGAGGACAAGGCTACAGTGAGCCATATCAGGCCACTGAACTCCATCCTGGACAACAGAGTGAGATCCTGTTTCAAAAAAAAACAAAACAACAACAACAACATAAAACCTACGTACGGTCTCAGCTGCTTTGTAAAGAGGCCCCTTGTCCAAGGTCATAACTTTCCCAGGGTGGCCCATATTCAGTGACGAATGGCAGGGGAGGTATGAAGGTCCCATCATTTTAGCTAACCTGAGACAACTTTGGGATTCTGTATTTTAGCTCCAGAGCTCCTTAAGGTGTTGGCCAATTTTCCTTGGACCAGTGCTTTGGCCTAGCTTCTCTCCCTGTTCAATTCTGCACCCTTTTGCTTCTTTACTGAGGTTCTGATCCCAAGGGAATTCTCTAATCAACATTTTGCATACCACACCCCATCTCAGAGTCTGCTGTTACTGGGAGAATCCAACCTTCAATGGGCAAAAAGATGAATAGCATTCCAATTGTTGAGAGTTAAGTAAACAAAGAGACAGAGGGAAAAAATAAAAAATTCTTTTGGAGGTGAATGAGATTAATGACCTGAATAGCCCACAGTGTCTACGTTTGAAATGATAAGCTATAAGATTGCCCAAAAGGCTTTATCCTGGGGACAGCAGAAAGCTTTTGGAGCAGGGATGTGACATGAAGAAAACAGTGCTTTAGAAGAATTAATCTAGTAAAGACAAATGGGATTATAGGGAACAGAAACTGTTAAAGAAAAATATATCCATTTGTCTGCTAATTTTTTTTTATCAGTGCCTGATTTCATGCATCATCAGTAAGTGATAGTTGAATACGTTGTTTAACTAAAACCTTATTAGTTGAAATTTGAGAACTTGAAATTACTCTGATGATGGACTGTGATGGATATTTCCTGAAGGATGGATCAGGTTCCTTTCCCTTAGTCTATTCCTGAAGAGGGTAGGAAGGATACCCTTCAAGGGTGTCCTAGGCTCATCTAAAGGGTGGCCTGGCATTTTGCCCACTCCAGTTTTCCAAATACCAGCAGACACAGCTGAGCCTATTCTTGCCAGTTAGCTATGATTGCTTTCTTTTCCTTTTCTGCAGAGAAAACAGAGTTGCCCACAGCCAGCGTCAGGAGGGAAAGTGAACTGTGTGGTCACCCTAGAGAGGTAGCTGAAGCAGTTTACCTGGGACCTCCTGTGTTTGTTTGTTTCACAGTCTTACACTACTCTGGTTTTGAGGAAAGTGTTTTTTTATTTTTGTTGTTTTTTCTCAATTTGAAGGAGTTGGTTATTTGATAGTGCTATTTAAAGCTAAGGAGGAGGGCCCTTTGTTAACAAGGTTGGGAAGTGTGGCACAAGACTACCTTTTAGAATCATGCCCACAGAGCCAGCAGGAGTTGAAATAGCCTACTTTCTTACCACTGTTACTGCCTTGAGAACTGAACAAGAAATAAATATTTTGTCAGTATATGGTGATTTTTCTCAACCCGAAAGAATTTATCCCTCCTTGGTCTTTATTATGAATTGGTAGAATATACTTTACTTAAATTTTATTGACAAAAGTAAAGATGGACAATATACAATTATGAGCTTATTAAAAATAACCCATAACCCTTCTTGGGGGCAGGGAAATGGTTGCCTCTTTAAAGTTAGCAGGTTTTCTTTGGTTCCTTTTTGAAAAGTTGCCTCAATCTTGACTGGCTTTAATCAGTAACTCTGAAATAAATTCAATTTAGTTGCCCGTTGGATATTACATACTTGCGTTTCCACAGAAACAATTTAGTAAAATTTGATATTCAAAAAGTACCAGATGGAGATATTATAGACAAGCAGGAATGTAGGATGCTTAAGTACATAGTCATTTGAAATGAAATAAACAAGTAGTAGAACTATCTTCTTAACATGACTCATAATTCCTAAGGAACATTTGTATTATCAAAGTACCTAGTAGTTTTCTAAAAGAATGACTGTCTTTTGCTCATAAATTTATTTTTAAAAGTTAGTGCCTTGGTTTATCAAAATACAAGTTAAGACATGTTTATATCATAATGAATGCAGATACATAGGATTGAGTTTATTTCAGTTTGCATTAGAACAATTTAATCTCAACATTCAAAATGTATGTACTATGTATATACTATATTGGAGTTCCCACAATGTGTTTTGTTTTGTTATTTTGATGTGGGGCTGTTTTTTATTCCCCATAAATCTGATCTGATTATTTTTCTTGATGATGGGCAGAAAATGTTTATAGATTATGTAAATCACTGATTAGGCATAGAGGGTGACTGGAAAGTGGGGCAGAGTGGAAGAGAGTAGAAACGTGGTAGTGTCCTCTGTCTTCTAGAGCTTCTAGTTGATGTTCTGTGAGAGCCGACCTCTTAGTAAACCTTAGATTATATGCTTCAGTATCCACAACATAATGTTAAAGGAATCAATAGCACTTAAATATGTCACTTTTTTCTGAGAATACATTGTCTGGAAAGGTAAAGCCTTGGTAGTTCAGGTATGTGGGTGGTATCATAGATATTAAACAAAAGAAAAAACTATCAGATAAACAAAACCAAAGTAGCCATTTTTCATATGGTTTTTACTTTAATTCCATGGCCTATGAGAGATATACCATCCCCAGATATTTTCCAGCAAACCTCTTCTGTACTCTGTTCAGGTTGGCTCCTCAGTCAATCCCTTTTAGCTGCCTTTGCCAGTAGATAAGCCCAGGGATCACATTATATGTGTTCTCAGTTGATGGAATACCACTGAGAAACATCATTTCTTCTAGGCAATTTGGCAATATCTATCCAATGGAAATATAGATATAACCATTGCTCCAGAAGGCATACTTCTAGAATTTATTATCCGGACATAATCCCAAAAATGTAGAAAAAGTGAACATGAAATTCCCCTCTTCTCCACCCCTGGCGTCCTTAATTTCACTCTCCAAAGTGAAATTGCTATCTGCATGTCTTTTCAGACATGTTTTATGACAGGTGATATAGCTATATACCCATTTTTTAATTTATGTAAATTGGATCACACTCTGTAAACTGTTCTGCAATTAGCTTCTTTCATCCAACATGTCATATACCTATCACAAAATATGTTTGGAAAGACAGATGGTAACACCTTTGGAGAATGGGATTAAAGGAGCCAGGGGTGGAGAAGAAGGGATTTTCTTGGTTACTTTTTCTTTTCTCTACTGTTTGAGTTGTTTTAGCAGTAAATATATTTGTAAAATATTTTAAATTAAAATACAAACTACTAGAAAATAAAAGTGTGTAAGATAATAATAATGAGGATAGCTAACATTTTATTGAGTTCTTACAATGGACCAGACACTGCTGTATACATATGGCATGTGCTTTTCCTCATTAAATTATCACAGAAACTGTACAAGGTACATCTATTGAGATCCCCATTTTACGGATGATGAATTTGAGGCACAGAGAGATCTTTGGTTACATGTCCAAGTCAATGTATGAGAAAAGAGTCAAATAAGAGCATTGATATGGAATATAGATGGTATCCATGATGGTTTGACTTAATGATTTTTCAGCTTTATTATGGTGCAAAAGTGATACACATTGAATAGAAACTGTAATTTGATTAACCATACAACCATTTTATTTTTCATTTTTAGTGTAGTATTCAATAAATTACATGAGATATTCAGTACTTTATTATAAAATAGGCTTCGTGCTAGATGATGTAGGCTAATGAAAGTGTTCTGAGCATGTTTTAAGGTAGGCTAGGTTAAGCTGTGATGTTCAGTTAAGTTAGATGTATTAAATGCATTCTCGACTTAGCAATATTTTTAACTTCTGATGGGTTTATTGGGATGTAACTCTATAATAAGTTGAGGAACATCTGTACTGCCATTTATAAATGATTTCTCCTGTGTGATCCAGAAGAGTAAACATTGTGACTCGCTAGTTTTGTGAGCAGAAAGGAAGAAGGTGGGTTCTTTTAAACACCATGACTTCTGCATTTGTTCTTCGGAGTTTAATTCAAGGAGAAAATGGGCTATTTCATTAATTCCAAGGACTCTATTTGAGGGAGTCATTTTCAGAGGAAAAAAATCATCTATGCTTTGGAATTTTTTTTAGGTATCTTAAAACAGGTATTATATGAGTCATTTCTCATAAGAACTGGCTTAGTATAGTAAGAAAGACTCCTTCTCATATTTTCCAAGATTATTGGTGGGTTGAGAGATGTCAGCAAATGATTTCCTCTGTTGCAATAGTTATCCAAGTACAGAAAGAAGAAAATATATAGTAGGCCAGGCGTTTGAAAGTATTTTAGAATAGCATTTCCTTTATTCAACAAATATTTATTGTGTACCTCAGAAAGTTATAATTAATATATTTTTACATTCAAATTCAAACTCCTGGCTCTTGAAAATCTCCATAATCTCTTCCCTTTTTGTCTGTTAAGCTCTTCCTCCACTTTTCCAACAAACTGCATCTATTTAGGCTGGTTTCTTGATCATTCTTCTGTAACTATCTATGTCCTTAAGCACAGGGATTATCTGTTGGTTCTTAGTGCCTCTGGTGCCTATAGCATGGGAGGCTTAGAATGGCTAGTGAATGAATGAGTGAATAAACACATTCTTTTTTGTCTCCATGCTCTTGCATATACATGTTTCCATATGTAGATTTTGCCTTCCCTTCTTTCTTCAAAACCTTGAGACCAGAGTTAGTGTGCCTATAGTGAGACCCTCTTCCAGTACGACTGACCTCCTGGCTCAGATGCAACAGGTCTCTACTGTTTCCTGTACCAAATCAAGACTCCTTGGACATTGAGGGACATTGTGCTTCTTTGTATATCCAAGTGTTAGTTCTTATTATGCTGCTTTTCATACTACCTCAAAACGTTCATATGCATTACCTTCTCTGTACTCCTAATGGGACCATCTTTCCATTAGATGCAGGGGATATGAACATGACCTCTGGAGAGATGACCTGAGTTAGAATTCTGACTCTTCTACTTCCTAGCTTTGTGAAGGTTTCTTAAAATTTCTACAGTTCAGTTCCCTCCTCTGGGAAAGAATGAAAGAGAAGCCTGCCTTTTGGAATTATGTGAGGATTGAGTAATCTATTAAAGTGCTTAGAACAGTACCTGGCATATTGTAAGCATTCAAATGTTAGCCATTATTACTGTGCGGCTTCTGTGTATATTTTATCTCATCCGTGATGAAGATGAGAAGGCAAGGGCTGCTCCTGGCCCCTACAAATACACTTACCTAATAGCTATTATCAATAGATATTAGAAGGTGGGTAATAACAACCCTTGAGAAGACCAGGGAGATGACTGAAGATTGATTTTGGGTGATTTTTTATGTAGAGACTTTAATTCATCTCTCTTGCTTCTTAATGGATCCACCAACTTAATAAAAAATAATTATTGATTGTTATATGTGTTAGACACCATTCTAGGTCCTGGTGATATACCAGGGATCAAAACAGAAGAAAATGCCTACCTCCATGGAGCTTACATTTCAGTCCTAAGTAAACTAGAAGTATGTGAGATGGTAATAGGGCTGTGGAGAAGAATGATGCAAGGGAAGGGGGCTAAGGAGTATATGTGTATGTGTGTGTGTGTGTGTGTGTGTGTGTGTGTGTGTGTCTGTGTGTCTGTGTGTCTGTCTGTCAAGTGGTGTGCGTTGCAATTTTAAATATGATGGCTTAGCAAAGACCTCCCTTAGTATGGTGCATTTGAGACAAGTTTTGAATGAGGTAAAGGAATAGCCATGTGGATATCTGTGGCAAGAGCTTCCTAAGAGTTGTCAGGAGGTGCAAAGGTCCTGAGTTAGTAGCATACGTAATATGCTCAAAGAGAAGCAAGGAGACCAGTGTGTTTGGAGCAGTGAGTCAGAGGAGAGTAATAGAAGATAAGGTAAGGGGCAGGGGCACAGCTCATACATAGCATTGCAGATCATAGCAAGAGCTGTATCATTTACACTGTGAGCGATGGGGACCATTTGGAAGGTTTTGTGTGCAGGGATAATGTTATCTGTCTTAGGAGGCAATGGGGTCAATCTGGTTACTTGGTTGAAATTTGGTTGAAAGTAAACTGCAAGAAAGGAAGGGAGATAAATTAGGAGGCTATTGAAGTGATCCAGGTAAGACAGTGCTGGCTTGGACCCAGGTGGTTGTAGGGGAGGTGGTGAGAAGTAGTTGTATTCTGGTTATATTTTGAAAGCAGACCCCATAGGAGCTGCTGACAAATTGAAAATGGGGTGTGAGGGAATGAATTGCCTCAAAGATAAGGTTTATGGCCTGAGCAATTTAGCAGGCTGGAATTGTCATTTACTGAGATGGGGAAAACTGCAGGAACAATAGGTTTGGTGGGAAGGAACAAGAGCTAAGTTTGGTCATGTTAAATTTGATATGCCTTTTAGACATTCAAATGGAGATAGAGAGTTGACCCTTGGATATGGTCCAGAATTCAGGGGAGGAGTAGAGAGGTCAAATTTGGAGATAAAAATTCAGGCTTGTCAATATACAGTATTTGAATCACTGAGACTGAATAGGAAATTATTTCAAAATTTCTTCTGTCATTCCTTTTCCCCCCTTAGTTTATTTTTCTTTATTTTACTTACTCTTCTTACCTATCTTCCCATCCCACAAATTCCAAGGCAGAAGTTAGTATTGACAGTTATCATCCAGCTTGGGAGATGTGGAGGAACATTGTACTTTTCTTTTCTCACTTCGTGATGTAATCAGAGTAAGTGCTTATTGTAGTGAGGTGACAGCATCTTCTTGGTGACTATTAGGTTGTGATCAAATCATGTTCTAAATAGAAAGTGCGAAACTTATTTTCATGTTCCTTTTATTAGCAGTATTTATTTTTCCATCAACCATATGCTAATAATTCATGAATCAATCTATAAACACTTAAAGAACACTGTGTACCTGTACTGAGAATGAAATAAGAGAAATATTACTAAAAGTTTCTGGCCTCAAAAAATTTGCTAATTAGTAGAAAGCCTGGTCTCACGTAGTAAACCAATTAGAGCACAATGTATGATAGCACTGAATTGTGCCTTGGGTTGTATGGTGTGGCTTATAAGGAAAAGCTTATTAAAACTGATCTTTTGACATTTTTGACAATGTTCTTATAAATTACTTTCTTTTTTATCATATATGGATGGGATGAAGCACAGAGTAAGATAGAGTGCACAGCAAAGGGGATCTGCCCCTCCTATCTGTCCAATACCCCACAGGTTTTGGTGATAATCTTGGGCAATGTTCCAGTCAAACCTGCCTCCCACTTCTCACTAAAGTTAGTGAACATGTGACCCACATTCCCCAAATAAGAGCCTCTTATAAACTCCATTCTTGGCTTTTTCATTCATAGAGATAGCTATTTTATGAGACATAGATAAAGCATTTTTTAGTGATGTGCACGATGCCTTTTTTCTTAATTATTAACTTCTCAAAACATAAACACATTGGAGGCACTTAATAAAGGGCAGCTTCATTGCAAGAGCTGAAAGCATTAATGAGTTTGTGTTAATGCTTCATTAATAAATCATCAGTGGCTAAGAAACTAGATCTTCCTTTTCCTGAAGTCTTTAATGTATCTTGATGCTCCATTAATCTGGGGGTCAGGGAAACTCCTAAAGTTTGAGGTCAGATGATATCATATGGTATTTCCATTCTCTGAGCAAATTGGCTGTTTCTTACACCCCTGTATTAATCCGCCTACCCCTAGATAAACTGGTTAGCTGATATGGATAATGAATGCGTCTTTAATTTTCATGTGAGGTTTTTAAGACTAACAAACATGAGAAGATTGTATATAGAGGAGGAGTGTTTTGGTTTTTGCTTGGTAATGCTACTCTAGCATGAATAAGTGAGTAGATATATTAAAATTCATTTTTATTTAGCTTTGGAATGCTTATAGAATGGTTTGTGGCAGATATGTCTTCCTATTTGGGTTCATTTTGATAGACATGAAAATTAGAAAATATTATTTAGATAGTGTAAAAAAGTAAAAAAAAATTACCTTTCAGTAATCTCCAAACAATTTTAATCTAGACAAATGAAAGCATTTTTATTGATAGTAAAATATTGTTTTATTTTTATACTTGTGTTTGGTGATAGCCATATCTGTCCTCAGATTTCACAGCAGATCTTTTAAGTTATTAGGTCCTGAGCGAAAATTTCCAATAAATCCCTACTAACCTTTCAAAAAACAAACATTTCCATCCCAGGTGGAATGCAGGGAATATGAGAAACAATTAGACACAAAGAGAAGGGAAACAGGGCATTAGTTCTTTCTCCTCTGACACTTGCTGCCTTTACTTGATGTTTCCTTTTTCTCTGTGAGGATCAGAGTTTGAGGAGTATTTGGGTCTTGGCAAGTGAGTAGCTAATCTTTAGCAAGGTCTTAACTGAAGCTACCAATAAAACGCAATATTTTAAATGCTTTACACTAATAAAGTCTAAAAAAAAAATCTGTTAGCATTTTGGAATTTAGCAGAACTAGCTAAGGCCCTCTTTGGCTTTCTTGACTTCCAGGCTGGTCTCCTAGGAATTTTTTATGGGAGCTTTGGGGCTCATAAACTGTACAAATGTTGGTTCTGACAACGTAATGAAACCACACAGGCCAGGACTGCTGCTTGAGGAGATTATTTTAGGACTGGCTTTCTTATGACCCCTTACTCAGAATACTTCTTGCCTTCCATTCTATGGACAGTATCCCTCAGAAAGGTTGGCTTAGTACCAGTTTCTAGTACCTGCTGTAGACTTGTTTTATTTATTTTTTACATCTCCTGTAGGTCAGAGGGAACATAATGACTTCCTGTGGGTTTTTGCCTGAATACGGAAGTAAAAGTAAGAACTTTCATGAACTCTGTGTCTTTATGAAAACCATTATAAGCAGTTCTGCAAATTATATTAATAGAACTTGAAAAGATTTGTTTTAAGTGATAGTCTATGAAGATAATAGTTCTAAGAATAATGTAAAATGTATATACTTGTATCCAGGGAATATATCAAGATAGATAGATAGGTAGATAGATACACACACACACAGATATATACACTGAATATGTATGTATGTATATATGAATATGTATGTATGAATATATGTATGTATATATGAATATGTATGAATATATGTATGTATGTATGAGTATGTATGTATGAATATATGTATGTATATATGAATATGTATGAATGAATATATGAATGTGTGACTATATGTATGTATGAATATATGAATATGTGTGAATATATGTATGTATGACTATATGAATAGTGTGAATATATGTATGTATGATATATGAATATGTATGCATGAATATATGTATGTATGAATATATGAATATGTATGTATGAATATATGTATAGATATATTCCCTATTCCCAAATATTTTGTGCATGTATGTTTTGTATGAATATTTAGGGCAACAGGAATTACAGTAGTACCATGTAAATGTAAATAATCACAATTTAATATTACTCAAAATTTTCACAAACTTAGAAAATTATGGCCATATTTTAATGTAGTGAACGATATCAAATTGATGTTACTTATTTTAAATATATTTTATCAGGAGGTCTGAGGATAACTGTTTGCATTCTCCTTAGGTAGGGATGAATTGGTGTTTTGATTTGGGAATGGAAGAAATATGGTCAGTTGAGAACTCTTCTGCAGACACAAGGCACCTGGAATTTATGAAAGAACCTTGAGTGCTAGAGATAATCTTCTCTTAGAGAACAAGAGGTTGAAGATTGAGGCACTTAGCAAGAACTCTTAAATTATTCAGTGGTTTCCTCAGCAGCATTTTAATTCTTGCTCGTAACTGTTTCATGGTTGACTTTCTTCTTCTCATGTATTGCTATTTTTCTTTGTCCTTTTCTCAGGAATAGGAAGAAAATTTCATTAAAGCACAACACAGAATTATATTCATTGGCCACACTTCACAGAAGATTCATTGCATAATTTGGCCAGTTTCCCTCACCACCCATTTAAATAGTGTGGCAAATGTATTTGGTGGGATTTCCTCAACCATTCAGAAACATTTACTCATTTTATTTTTATTTTTATTTTTATTTTTTGAGATGGAGTCTCTCTGTCGCCCAGGGTGCAGTGCAGTGGTGTGATCTCAGCTCACTGCAACTTCTGCCTCCCAGGTTCAAGTGATTTTTTTGCCTCAGCCTCCCGAGTAGCTGAGATTACAGGCATTCGACACAATGTCTGGCTAATTTTTGTACTTTTCATAGAGACGGTGTTTTACCATGTTGGCCAGGCTGGTCTCGAACCCCTGACCTCAAGTGATCCGCCCACCTTGGCCTCCCAAAGTGCTGGGATTACAGGTGTGAGCCACTGTGCCCCTGACCCATTTGCTCCTTTTAGATTTAGATATATCAGTAGAATGATTGTAGCTCAGGAAAATCTACTCAGCCAGATAGCATTACCTTTATTCCTTCCATTAGCATGTGCACTTCTTTCCAGCTAGTTGTCCAATTCAGGAGGCACAGATAGCTGTAATCTAAAGTATATACCTTCATGTTCTGAACTATTGGTAGAGCAAGTATGGTAACTAAATCTAACACTCCATGCAAACTAGGTAGAGTTTTCAGTCTTGTAGATTTTCAGCCAAAGTGTTGTAATGGGTGACGTATGTCTTTTTAATATTAATGGAGGGTGTTCTACCCTTTAGTATCTTTTTTGTGACAGTGATGGTGGTGAATTGCTGTCATGGATTCTGGTTGTTATAGATCCAGAGTGTTCTATTAAGGAATATTCTGTGTTGTAAATCCCAAGACAATTGTGAATCTTAATTACTCTGCTTGTAATTACTTCTTTAGTGCAATAAATTAATCTTAGTTTATGTCTAAGCATTTTGGGTCTCAGGGCATTCATAAACAATCTCTCATATTTCCTGTGTGATCTGTTACTGTTATCAAGAGAAGTGTTCAGAAAGAGAAGACAACTGGCCCCAAACTATGTGGAAACTAATAAATACAGAACAGCCATTTTTGAATTTTAGTCTCACAGTAGCTTATAAATCTCTCAAATTGCACAGTGCATAATGAAATCAATGAATATGTGAATACATTAATTCAAATTAAAACTTGCCCAGGACTGATCTGGAAATTGTTCAACATTAGTAAGAAAGCATGAGATATTTTTAAATGGGAGAGAAGTCTAATCATCATACGTGGCAAAAAGATAAGGAAGTTGGGAAATGTGCAATAATATAGACATCATTTAGTAGATATTTTGAAAATACAACTTTGGCTCTTAATAATAATAAAATGTATAATTAAATACTGTTGCCTCAGTTTATCCAAGATGATACTTGTTTGGAGGCATAAGACTAAAGATCAGTGTAGGAACACATCTGCTCAGGGGGACCTTTGTGCCCACAACTGGGAGCTCATTTTTTTTAATTTAAATTACCTCCTTAAACATCCTGGGACCTCCTTCCATAGATTTTTTTTCTTGGCTAATATAGGAATTCAGATGAGATGTATTATTGGTCCGAGTAGTAGAAGTTATGGACCTGTGACCTTGTGTTCTCCCATCACAATTTTACCAACATCTTCAGTAGTATGAATTCAGGAATGGAGGTAGGGTTGCATTGGAGGTGAATTATAAATCATGTTAAATTGTTCAAGAATTTTCTTTTGTTTTCCTTGGTCATCAAATTTTGAGGTTTGCTAAGTTTTGTTCTTTTCTTTGTTTGAGCTACTTTTTGTTCCTTTTATCCTGCCTGATCTGGCTTCATTTTGTCATTTTTCATGGAGGTTCTCTTATGTCACCTATTCGCCCACCATGGTATTGGTGGTATTCAAACTTAATGTTAATTCTTTCATAGTAGCTTGGTTATATGTTCAAAAAATATTTATTGAGTGTTCATTATGTGTTTGGCACTTTTCTAGACTTTGAAGAAACAGTGGTAAACAAGACAACGTGTTCCCTGCCTTCAAGAAGTTAGTGTTCTAGTGGGAATGGAAAACTGGTAGGGCATGAGAACAGATTTCTTTTATACAAGTTGTCAAACTTGTGATAAAATGTGATAATTTCAGATTGTAGTAAGTGCTATGAAGGAAATAACAAAAGTGATGTGATTCCAATCAATAAAATGATAGTGGGGCTGCTTGAGAAAGAACAGTAAGGGAAGATGAATTGGTAACATTTGAGCAAGCTACCCGTGGAAAAAGCAAGGGGAGAATATTTAAGCCAGAGAAAAAAGGAAGTGCAAACTTTCTGAAAGAATAAGAAGGACAGGATGGAGGCAAAGAAAGGGCACTAATGTATCTGGAGTATCATGAACAAAAGGGAAAGTAGAATAAAATAAGGTTGGAGAGACAGGGAGTAGCTAGTTTAATAGGAACTTACAGACCTTGAATCTTAGGTTGGGTTCTGCATGAAACAGATTCTGGAGTGGAGATTTGCAGGAACAAATGTAACTGGAGAGTTCTCTTGTTCTCAGCATCAAACAGCTTTGTTCATGCTGGAGGAAGTCAGCTTTCTGAGAGATTGACAAGAGTAGGAAATTAATTGGAAAATAATCTTCTTTTTTGTTCTAATTTATCCTTTTAACCATTTTTTTTTGAGATGGAGTCTCGCTCTGTTGCCAGGCTGGAGTGCAGTGGCACAATCTCAGCTCACTGCAGCCTCCGCCTCCTGGGTTCAAGCAATTCCCCTGCCTCAGCCTCCCAAGTAGCTGGGACTACAGGTGCCTGCCACCATGCCCGGCTAGTTTTTTGTATTTTTTTAGTAGAGATGGGGTTTCACCATGTTGGCCAGGATGGTCTCGATCTCTTGACCTCGTGATCTGCCCGCCTTGGCCTCCCAAAGTGCTGGGGTTACAGGCATGAGCCACTGCACCCGGCCATCATTTTTTTTTTTAGTGTGCTCTTTCCTTTTTTTTTTTTTTTTTTTTTTTGCATCTTCTTTGTATATTAATCTGTTTTTGCTCTTTTTTCTTCAATGGTCATTTTGGGGTATAGGATTGATTTTGAGACAGACTGAAAACAGTTAAAAATCTCTCTTAGCTTTTCAGACAAGAAGCAATAATGAGGTGGCCTCGTTTAGTGGAAACTGGAAAGCAAAGATGTGATGGACTTCAGAGATATATAGGGTCCGGAAGTTGGCAATTCTGTGACTGAATGCAGGGATGAAGGAAACCAAGGAGTTAAAGGTGAGGAAATCAGTTGGGGCAATAGGAACTAGAAGAGGATGAGTTCTGTTCTGTGGAGGGTCCTTCTGAGGTGCCTCATAGGACAGCCATCTGGAGATGGACCTCTGGCAGCTGGAAGTGTTTAGAAATCAGAACAGAGTGCAGGCTAGAGACACAAATTTTAGAAACGTGTATGAAGGTAATAATTTTGTAAATAGATGAAGGTTACTATGCCATTTTTAATGTCAAGTACATATAACAGAGAGCATGTCATTTAACTGAAAAATGATGAAAAGCTATTTTATTTTCACATATTTAAAGATTGGGCATAGTTAGAAAGGTGAATGCACCTTCCCTCCCACTAAAGCTTCTAAGACCTTTTGAATGAGGTTAGTACCAGATGAAATTCTGGGAACACACAGACCTCCTTGTGAGGGACACACGTTTGGCAGATACATAATCTTAAGGAGAGATCCATTAGTTTGCTTCATGCTGCTTTTGGATGGCAAGAATTTTGTACTGTTTTGCAACAGATATAGTTTTGATAGATTACATTGGAGGGCAGAATTTTCTGGAAGGCCTTTTCAGATTTAGGAACCATGGAAAATCAGTCATTATTTAGTAATCAAGAGAATTAAATGCTTTTATTTTGCTGAGCCTGATCTACCTAGTGAATGTTTTATTTCTCTCCGTGTGTGTATTTCATTTTGCAAATATAAGTATTATTCTGTGTACTGCTTTATTAGTTATAATTCATGTATCATTTTGTAACAGAGAAGTATCTTAAAATTATAATGTTTGCACAAGATTCTCTGTGATGATTGAACCAAGAAGGGATGTAGGAAACAGGTAGGGTGCCTGATGATTTAATATTTCATCTTAAAGACAAAGGAGAATAAAAACAGTCCATTTGTATTTGGCTGCTTTTATGTTACTGGCAAGAACAGTCAGAAGCTCCCCATTTTCAACTGGTGGTTGGGTGTCCAAGGAATTCTTGAGTTTGTTATTTCATATGAAGGATGTGCCAGATAAAAACCCTTAGAGACCGAAAGTTTCCTTGTTTAGTCACAAGACAAACTTGCTCTTTTCTTGTAGCAAACTATATTACTACCCTTTGTCTGACTTGTTGATTTCGAGTTGGAGGGCAGTGTCCATTGGTCCATGTCAGTCACTAGTGCACCTAATAAAAGGCCTAACAGATATTTAGGTTGTCAGTGTTTGCATGCTAGTTGGTTAAGCCATCTGAATTGGATTTGATTGATGACCTCGCTTGCCCTTAAGAAGAGGGTTTGTGACCACAAGCCACAGAAAATGACATGTAAGATCAATTGATGGTTAGTAAGTTAAAAAACATCCCATCACCCATTTTGTGTGAATATTGTATTGCTATGGGTTTTACTTGGGAACATATAAAAAGGTTACCACATACTCCAATATGTGTTTTTCCTACATTTCAGTAACACCTGAATGGAAATCTAACATGAGGACTGTTGAAATTATTTTTTTCAAATGGGGAAGGGAGAAGAAGGTTAATAATTTTCCATACTCAGATTAGAAAGGTCACGACCATATCAGTTCAAAGAAGAGAATGCATGTGCTCATGGCTGGTTACCAGGTGAATTTTGCAAACATTTTATTATATACATAGTTGATTTTTTTTCCTTCCTGGGAAACTTATATCCATGAATCTGGAGTTTTACATTTTGGAGCTACATTTTTTGGTCCCTTCTACCTATATTATTTTTAAAAGATATCTTTATTTTAAAATTGAGCAACTTGAAGTGTATGTGTGTGTGTGTGTGTGTGTGTGTGTGTATACACATACCTGTATTGTAAATAAGAAAGGTGCTTAATAAGTTTGTCTTAAAACTCATGAAAGCTTGGCGTAAAATCTCACACTAATCACTATGGATGAGAATGGCTCTCGTTGAGAAATAAGGGCTGATGGCTTTTTTCTCAATGATCATGTTAAAAATATATTGAGAGCATTGTAGGACTCCAGATGCTTGGGTTGTGGCTCACAATTTTTACAGAATTAATTTCCAAAATTCTTGATTACTCCAGGAGGAAATTTATTCCAAAAGTAAGCTGTGTGCTTCCTTCTTAAATTTAAAAATTAATGCATCAAAGGTGTAATAAAAATCATCTCTTACAATTAGAGGTCCTAAAGAAATGTTTGAATTATTATGGCAATTAGAAGGGTACCTTACTTAAGATTTTGAGAGTTTTGTTGCTAGCAAAGCAGAGAAATAAAAAGTTAATTACTTTTGTAAGGGAAAACTTGGGAATATAGGTATGTCCCTGTACCTTTTCAGATATGTAAACAATATTTAGGTATTTTTACAGAGAATTGAGAAAAAGTACAGGCACTGACACTACTACAACCATAGTAGAAGACACTACTACAAAGATAGTAAAGGACAACTTTCTATGTAGATAAATATCAGTTATTTGGAGTTTATTATCTGAAAATATTTTGATAATTTCTTCCCATTTCTTTCAAGATAAAAATTAAGTTTTAATAGCAGATATCTTGCTTAGAATCAAGTACATTTTAGTGACTTGGCATTTATTCATTATTCGTTTATTTAGTTTATCACTTTTTTTTTTTTTTGAGACAGAATCTCTTTCTGTTGCCCAGGCTGGAGTGCAAGGCATGATCACGGCTCACTGCAATCTCCGCCTCCCAGGTTCAAGCAATTTTCATGCCTCAGCCTCCCGAGTAGCTGGGATTACAGGCATGCGCCACCACATCCAGATAATTTTGTATTTTTAGTAGAGACGGGGGTTTCACCATGTTGGTCAAGCTGGTCTTGAACTCCTGACCTCAAGTGATCCACCTACCTCAGCCTCCCAAAGTGCCAGGATTACAGGCATGAGCCACCGTGCCTGGCCCTTGCTTGTAGACTTTCATTCTCTGGTTCCATACTCCACAATATTATCAGCCCTATCTCTCAAAAATAGCATTGGTTATATTATAGCATCAATTAATTACATTGACATAAAATTAAAATGTCTCTACTTGTCACTTCTTGTAATATTACCTAATTTTGTTTTTCTCTAATTTTTCATAATTTATACACCTAATTTATTACCTTTCACGGGCTCATGTGTTTCCTATTTAAAGTCTGAAATGTGGCCAGGTGCAGTGGCTCATGCCTGTAATCCCAACACTTTGGGAGGCTGAGTTGGGAGGATCACTTGAAGCCAGGAGTTCAAGACCATCCTGGGCAACATGGTGAAACCCCATCTCTACCAAAAAATATGAAAATTACCAAGTGTTGTGGCGCACGCCTATAGTTCCAGCTACTTGGGAGGCTGAGGTGGGAGGATTGCTTGAGCCCTGGGAGGCAGAGGCTGCAGTGAGCAGAGATCGCGCCACTCCACTCCAGCCTGGGTGACAGAGTAAGACCTTGTCTAAAAAAAAAAAAAAAAAAGAAGTCTGAAATGTAAGTCATTTGTATCTGTTCAAATGATATAAGGTGGTATCAAGCATTCTTACACATGATGGTGGTCTTAGAAAATCATTTAGAGGATGCTAGGAGAAAAATTGAGCTGCCATCTGGAGAGGCTGCTGGATTGGCGACTCCCTCCTATCATTGGTTTACTCTCTCCAGGTGCCTTACTAAAGAGAATCAACAAAGAGAGAAGGACTTTGCTCAGTACCTTCTGCCTTAGAGGCCTGTCTGGTCATCTGCTGCCAGCTCTTTCCAGGGAGAGATGAGGAGCAGCAGGCCTGTGCTCTCAAGCCCTCAGGGAATGCACTGCCTCCAGTGGGACAGAGTGGAGCTGTTGCTTGTGTCATTGCTGCAGCACATTATTTGAAACTGACCTCAAGACTTGGATTTGCTCAGTTTATTTTTAGAAGTAATGACAGTATAGCACTTTGAGGCCTGAATGTTATTTCTAGACAAGAGTAATACTGTTTTTCTGAGAAGTAGAATTTCAGGATTTCAAATGGATTTTTTGGTAAATATTTCTGAAGCTTTTCCAGTAACTGAGACTTTCTGGGCAGAAAGGCAAGATGGGACATAGTGTGCATCCTCTGTTCTTGCTGACCTCAGTATCTCAGAGTGTGACTAGACGCTGTTACCGAGCAGCTGCATAGTCATCTTCTTCCCTTGTTCTGAGCAAGTCCTCTGTTACACAAAGAAGAAAAAAGCAATCATTCTTTTCAGTCATTTACCTTCCAACTTACTAAATTTGAAATTATAATTATACATACAGTACATACAAGGTTGTCTGTAGGGAGTATATTTGTTTTTATGTCTTATATTCTGGCATGTATATGAGTTTGCCTAAGAGATTTGGAGATACATACACATGCATACATACATGTGTCTGACTTTTTATGTAAATATATTTTGTATGACGTGTTAATTTATATGATACATGGCTATCCAATGTGGTTATCTCTACAAAGAAATGTACTCACAGATGCATTTAATTTTTACAGATACAATTTTCATTAGCTTTCTAACTGAAGTCCCTGCCTGTAGACTTTCATTCTCTGGTTCCATTGTGTACTCCACAGTGTCATCAACCCTGATTTTCAAAAACAGCATTCATAGCCAGCAGTTTTGTCTTGCTTCCTATATGCCAGGCACTGTTCTAACTTTTTATATATAAATCTCTCAACAATTCCATGAGGTAGGTGCTGTTAACATCCTCATTTTACAAAAGAAGAAACTGAGGTACAGAGAGGTCAAAAAGCTCACTCTAGGTCAGAAACAATCCTAAGTGGTAAAGTCAGTCTGAACCCAGGCAGTCTAACTCTAAAATCTATACTCTTAACTACTATATTGTGTTGCACACAGAATCTGGTTCCTCGTGCCTCTGATCAAAACCGATATTTCCTGCAGCAGAAAATCTTAACATATTAGCACAGGATTAATTTGTTAGCTTTTTATGTTTTTCCCTGCTCACATTTGAGGTTGTTATCCACAGACAAGTATATCAAACTATTGCTGTTCTCCAAACCTTCCAGATAGTTTTCTGACTCTGTGATGTTAATCATGCTATTCCTTTTATCTGAAATTTACTTCATCTTTTTCTACCCAGAAAACGCCTATTTATTCTTCAAAGCCCATATCAGCCTTCACAACTCTTTTATGCATTGTTGTAAAATTGTATTTTCTCTCATCTGTGTTTCCGTAGCACTTAATAAGTAACTCCGGTTTTGGTGCTTCTTTCATTGTATGGTGGTGTTTATTTGCCCTTAAGTGTCATGTGCTCTTCATTGGGAGTACCATCTCCCCTCTGCTGATTTCATTCAACTGTCTAGTAACCAGATTCACCTCTCAGCCATGTTCCTGTATCATCAGTGCTGCTCTGCGGTGCCCTGTCTGGTTTTCAGTCACAGTTTCCTGTGCAGGTGGTGGAGGATTTTGAAATGCTTGAAACTGAACCATTACACCCACTTGAGATAGTTTCTTTTGTCTGTGTATGATAGGAGGTGGGTGGGGAAAAATAAGTGCACACAGCCTATTACCTGGAGTTGAGATCACCAATTAAATGTCATGAATAGGGTAAGATAACACATATTAGTTGTGTTTAAAATATTTTGCTCCTTAGATTTTTATTCACTCTTCACTTTAATTTAGAAAGGCAGTTTTCAGATGTTGGATGAGCATTGACTAATTTCCAAATACCTTTTTATTTGTTTTCTGCATTATAGATCATGTGACTCAAATGTATTTAGGGTAGCTAGCAGATGATTGAACATGATGAAACTATGAGTCTTTTATTTATCTAAGTAAAGCAGTGAATGCAGATGGGTTTATTATAGTCATAGGGCCCCATGTACTTTAGTCCTTATTTCATCCAGCAAAACTTCGATGACTAATTTTGACTTCAATTGAGGAATATTTTATTTAAAACATTTGCTTAGAATAATAGTCATTGTAAAGGAACACTTTTCATGTGTTTACTGAACCAAATGCTAAGATGATACAATTCCTAATTTTAAATAAGATAAATATCAAATTATAGGTTTTTGCATAATTTTAGTAAAATAGATGTGAGAAAGATTGGAGATTATGTGAGGATTCTAGGTACTTAAGTTGGAGTAGAGGAGAAAGAAGGAAGAAATGGCCTACTCATAATTGCATTACAGTTTTTTTCAGTCTTGAACAGAAGTTGAAGTCTGAATGGTACTGAAGTAAATGAGAGATTCAAATCCAAAAGAAGAAAAAGTCCTCATTATAAATTTTGGAAATGCATAAAAATGGTGAATGATAATATTCTGATATTTGAAAAAATAAATAAAGCTACATTTTAAAATTTAATTTATAAAAGTCTGAGTGACTTTTTAATAAATTAAAATTTGAAATTATAAATTTATATGAGAAATTAATTTTTCTCATATAAAAATACATTTTTATAAATTTCTCATATACTTTCCTCTTAAAGCAGTTTATATGTGGCAATTTTTTAAAAAATGAATAAATTAAAACTGAAGATTGCTCTTCCTCTTCTATCAAAACAGCTAAAACATTTAGCTCCTATTCTGTGATGCAAAGTTTAACATATGTAATCTGATTTAATTCTTGCAGTTACCTGTACAGCATTATCATCTTCCATCATATATGCATGGAAAATTAAGCTTAGCAATTTCCCCAGAAAGGAAGGGGTAGAATAGGATTTAAACTCAGGTCCACTGCTCCTGTATCCCATGCTTTTTCTAGTATATTTTGGTAGAGAATGTCAGTTTTGAGTACAGACATACTTTGTGCTGGAGAAACCAGCAAACTGGAATTACAAACTAATCAAATGACAAAATGGAACTGGAAAAGGCTGTTTTTTTTTTTTAATTGAATATGTTACTGGCATATGTAAAACAGAAGTCATTTAAATAAGATATTCATATTTCAGTTGTCGTTTAAATATCAGTAGAGAGTTTGATTAAATAGTGGATTGTCTGGGTGTCTTTATCCATGATCTTTGCCCCTGCAGTTATGATCACTTATTTTTATAGCATGGAATTAACTCAGCATAAAATTTGAGGTGAGATTTTGTTACTCAAAATAATCTTGAAGTTTTCTGGGATTAGTGAATGTTTTCTTGGGACTGGCCATGTCACTCACTATCTTTGCACTGAAAATGAAGAATATACAGTATATTAGTCCATTTTCATGGTGCTATTAAGAACTGCCCAAGACTGGGCAATTCATAAAGAGGTTTAATTGACTCACAGTTCCACATTGCTGGGGAAGCCTCAGGAAACTTACAATCATGGTGGAAGGGGAAGCAAACACATCCTTCTTCACATGGCGGCAGGAGAGAGAAGTGCTGAGCAAAGGGGGAAAAGCCCTTTATAAAACCATCAGATCTTGTGAGATCTCACTCACTATCATGACATCATGGGGGTAACCACCCCCATGATTCAGTTACCTCCCACCAGGTCCTTCCCCTGACATGTGGGAATTATGGGAACTACAATTCAAGATGAGATTTGAGTGGGGACACAGCCAAACCATATCACACAGTGTATCTCATTTTTTACTTTTTATACAGAAGTATTGCACATAATATGAAGAATAAAGGGAAAGAAATATAGCTTAAATATGACTATCAGTAAAATACAATATTTGCTTCAGTAAATGTAGTCAACAGGGAGCTAAGAAATACCTGGGTCTTCCAGCACTTCATAATTTAATGAATGATTATAGGAAAATTACAGAAATCCTTTTGTACTTCATTCTTTCTGACTCCTAATTTAGGGGAATGGTCTTTGAGACCCACCTTTCTCACAGGGAGATGGTGAAGATTAATTAGCCCATGCTAGCCAAGTTCCCAGTGCTGCCCCAGAGAAAGGTGTTCCATAAATCAGACCTATCATTAAAATGCCTTCATTTGTGTCTAGTCCTTGCACAGGATGGTGCCATCACTCCGTATCCTAATGGGAGTCACCCACATTCAGGCCAAGGACAGGTTTTTCCATAACACAAAGAACGTTTGTTCTATGTGACTAGGCAGATTTCCTCCTCTGTGTGCCTCAGTGTCCTCATCTATCAAAGCAGCAGTCCATAGCCAGATAATTCCTAAGAGGAACTTACCCTAGAGTTGCTCTGATTTATATCTTTTTGTTTGTTTGTCCCACTCAGCTTCTTGAACCTATTAAACTTTTTTTTAAGCTCATGTCCTACGAAAGAACTGTAACAGACATAGAGATAGGCCATTCAGATGCCCCTCCAAGGAAGGCAGTCAGGAGAGCCTCCAGCAGTCAGGGTCAGCTTCAGCTGCACAGAGCTGGCCCTCCCAAAGTCATCTCCCTCTTGTGGCACCTCACATCTGATGACTAAGTTAAGACCCCAGCACTAGACAACTCTGATGGACAGCGTTTGTTCTAGAGTGCTCCACTGGTTTGAGACATTGGATTTGCCTCATGGTTGTTTCTCATGCTTCCTGATCTTTCTTCCTTCTCCTTTCCAGATCTGATAAAATCTTACAGGTCTTCTATGTAAATATCTTACGCCCTATAAGCCATCTCAGCATCTGCTTCCATAGAATCTGAACAATGACAAGAACTTAAATAATGTGAAAAAATTTGTGACTGGCTTGGGCAATGTAGCAAGATCCTGTCTTGATTTTAAAAAAAGAAAAAAATAATAATAATGTGAAAAAGGACTAGTAGAAGGGAAATCCTCAAGCCACAAATTACTAGACTTCTTTATAATGGGCTTGTTTCATATACTGTAGTTTATTAATTTGGAAATTGTATTTTCATATTAAAACAAAGCATGCCCCAGAAGAAAGGTTCAGTCACTTTAGGTAACTTTTCTTTAGCTGTCTTCAAATAAATCATTGTGAGAGGCCTTTCTTCCTTTCCTTTTTTCTTATTCTTTCTTAAATAGTTTAGATTTGCTTATCTTTGTCTTAAGAAAACTAGTAAGTCTGACACCTACTATGAAGTTGATCTGATAAAGTAAGTTGTATGCTGCGTATTTCCAAATTAGATTTCCTATTGTAATGGAGGGCTAGTATTTCTTTATTTGTTCTTTAATTCACAGTTTACATTTAGAAGTTTTGCTTAAAATTATTTTATGTTCTGAAATCAGAGTCGTCAAAACTCAATTCAGCGTTTTTAAAAATTTGCTTTTTCTCTACCCATGGTTAAGGGATATGACTTACTATTTCTGTGGGTTTCTTTTACATGTTATTATTGATTTTTAAAATCAGGACAGAAAAAGCAGAGACTGGAGAATATGTGGCTGGAATATATGATGGACATCTAGGGAAGAATTAAGAAAGAAAAGAAAATGGCTGGGGAGAGGCAAGTATTTAAAAAACAACCGCATGTGTTAGTAGAGAAGAGGATAAGAGTCTAAATTTTGACATACGTGTATTAGTAAACCTAAGCTACTTTTGACTTTGCACACTGTTTATTTATGTTGTGGTCACAGAGTTAATTATATCTGTTAGAACAAGCCTTTGAAAGTTTAATGAGCTCTTTAGCATTAACAACCTTTCATATTTCCTTATTTTTTTTTCACCTTTCCATTCATCCATCTTAAATTTTGCAGCTCTTAACAATGTTATTGCACTAGAACCCCAGAGCAGCATTAGGTGAGTGGAATGTGTTCCAGGGTTAAAATAAAAACAAGGCACAGTACATAGTGTGTTATTCCTATTACATAAAGTATTATATAAAAACAAGCTAAATTTCTGCTATTAGAAATCAGAATAGTGGTTATTCTGGTGTGGAGGTAGGGGCAGGGAGTAGGAGAGGCTTCTGGGTGCTGGTTATGGCACCCAGATCTGTTTCTTGATCTGTGTGCTGATCACATGTGTGTTCATTTTATGAAAGATCATTGTGCAATATACTCATGACATCTGCAGTTTTCTGTCTTTGTATTTTATACTTAAATATTCAAAAAATTGGGTGAAGGAAATGCCTGTGGGCTGGATTTACTTTGCTTCACTTAGACCTTTAAGAATCACAGAACCACAGCTAGTTAGATTTAAGTTCTAGTCTTCTACAACACTGTAGGGTTTAGAGTAACTATAGTTAATAATTTATTATATATTTTCAAATAGCTACAAGAGAGGATTTTGTATGTTCCCGACATAAACAGATGACAAATGATTGAGGTGATGGATATGCTAATTACCCTAATTTGATCATTATACATTGTATGCAGGTATCAAATATCACTTGATACCCCAATTATTATAATATGTGTCAACTAAAATTTAAAAACTAAAAAAAAAAAAATCACAGAACCAACTATAAAATCACAGAAATGGAAAAGGTCTTAGTTTAGCCCACTGATGTCACGAAGAGAATAGATGCCTAAAAGGCTTTGAAGTCTTGCAAGGATCCTAGGGAACGATGATTTCATGTCTTACAGCTGAGGAAACTAATGTCAGTAAGGTTAGGTCCATTGCCCAGGGTCTCACCAGAGCCTGCTAAAGAGCTCTCAGATCCACCTTTCTCTGCTGTTCAGCTTCTTTCTACTGTGTGGCTTAGCCTGTCTCCTAATAGCAGCTTCTTCATAGAACTATTCTTATTAAAAACGGGGCTTGAGTTAACCTAGCTTATGAGGATTTCTAATGACAACTCTTACAAAAAGGGTATTTTTCATTTAACTTGTAGGCAGCCTGATTTTCAGCTGACCAGAACAATCAAATTATAAAATATTCTAGTTATTTGAGATGTTACCATAGATAGCTTTAAAAAATCTTTATTTTCATGACATTTATTTTATCACATAGCTATTATTGCATAGTTTCGCTTGATCTCTGAAGCTTTATCAAGATGCTACTAGATACTATCCTATGCATATTTTCCACTTAACACAAGTATGATATCCCCTTTAGATTTATATGTATTCTGCTACCATGAAAAGCCATTTTTTTCCTCTGTATACATGAGATTATTTTTACTTGACTGACTTATCTCTTTAATTCATTGCCTGTCATTCAGCTCATATCATATATATCACATATATGAGATTGATAACCTAATAAATAATCCCATTTTTGTCAATCCAGTAATCATTGAATTTACTAGAATCTACTCAGTTCTTATCCAAGGGCCACTACTGACATGGGCCTTCTTATTTAGATGGTATTGCATCGCTTGACTCTTAGAGAAGGCTCTGGATGATTGACAGATTATCCTCATGTCTGACGGAAGTAAGACGAGCAAGTTCCTTCAAGAAGGAAGTAAGCCAAGTTGTATCAGATATAGTCTCCATTCTGTTACTTTCACTTTCCTGTTGATACCCCTTCTTCCTGTTTATTCTGAATGCATTTAATAAATATTTACGAGTATTTGCTGTAGATCATACACTGTCTTAGGAGCTGGTATAAAATGGTGAAACAAAAAAAATCAACATAGATCCTGCTGTCTTGGGCCTTATTTTGTTAGAGACAGAGCATTAAAAAAAATCTTTCAGCTAAATAGAAATCACAAATGGGTCAAGTATAATATAGAGGTGGAATTTGTGCTATGTATGTGAGCCAATGGTAGGGAGTCTGAGCACATTAGGAATGGCTTCCTTGAAGAAAAGATACTTGCTTTAGGATATAAAGAATGAATAGACAGACATAAATCAGACAGAGGAGCGATTAGTATTCCAGCAGCCAGGATAGCATGCACAAAGGTTCTAAAGGCAACCCAATAGTGTAGGGGAGTGAGGCTGAATTTTAGCTCTTCGCCTTTAGGGTTTTTTCTGGCTAGGCCTAAGAATTAAATTGACATAGGACAGATTAACAGGAGAAAAGCACAGGAATTGATTTAATACAACTTTTACAAAGCAGTGGGAGTCCTCATGAAGAAATGAAGACCCAGAGAAACAATTAGAGTGAATCAGTTATAGATTGAATTGGACAAAGAATAGTAAGTTGTGAAAAAGCAACTAAATTATGTGGAGAGGCTTAAGAGACAAGAGCTATTTTAGCAAGGTCTGTACAGAATTTTCTTTGGCTCAAATTTCCATCCTTGATGATAAGAATGTTGCTTTCCTTCTGGTATAGGGAGAGGACCTTTCAGTGTTCCTGCTTTTAAGAAACAGAAAGGAGGCCAGAATGATCTTGTACCTGCTGTTTTTCAAGTACCTTTAATTCACAATAGTCATTATGCCAGAATGGTATATTTTTAACTCCTTCAATGGCACATTTGAGGAACTCAAAGAAGGCCAGCATGACAGGGTCAAAGAGTGCATAGAGTTGTGTGGAGCAAAGTAAATAAAGTGACTTATGGATTGGGAACAGTGGAGGAGTCAGTGGACTGGTATTCCTGATGGTTTGAAAAAAAAGCCACTCTAGGAGACACTGAATAATCTAGAAAATGGGCAGTTTATGGCCAGCAACTGTGATTTTTAACTCCCTGATTCTGGAGGAGGATGGCCAAGTTTCAAGGAATGACTGCGAGAGTGGTGACTGAAATCGAGTGGAAATGAAGACCACTGGAGACAGGGAGGTCAAGGAACTGACAGGCTGAGTGTTGAACCAGTTATCCTTGTGTCTGTTGAAATAGCCCAGAATGTTGGCAAACTTTCAGTGAAGTAGAAGACTGGATAGATGCCAAGTCTTTAATACATAAAGTGGGTTGAATGGTGGTGGGGAAAGAGAACCACTTAGTGTGCCCAGTAAACATTTCATAAGATTTGAATGGTTTGTATGATAGAGATAAAGTTTCTAGATTTTCAATGTTATATTTTCCCAATTGTTCATTATATTTTGGCCATTATACAGATATATGAAAATCTGAACTAAAGGAGTTTCCTCATCTGGCTTGCATATTTCAAGATGATAGGAATTGTGTCATAATCACTGGTATAGAAGCTGTACAGATCTTGGCTTACCCAAAGACAAGTGGTAGCTGTGAATGAATAAAGCATAGGGATAAATTATGAATGAAGAAAATAGTGCATCAGCTCTATTAGATGGAAGGTGTTATTATTTTTAATTTTATGCACATGTGCAAATTTTATGAACTTTACATGGAATTTTACCTCTCTGACTACAATTACCTTTGCATCTACATTAATTACATAGTAGTCGCATGTTTTTTTTTTCTTTCAGAGATGAACTTTTTAATCAGAATACTTACTTTTCCTCTGATTCCATGGGAACTTTACCATTTATACTAACTTTTTGTGGAACCAATGAGTTAGATCCTTTTGACAGAAATTGCACGGAGGGGCATTCTCTGATATGGGGATACATCTTGTCTGGAAAGGATCTTCCCCTGTCTGCACCTCCATTCATGTTTGTAAACTTTTATCATTCTCCATTTGTTTATCTGGCTAGTGAGCAATCTCTCTGTACCAATAATTGCCTAAGGGATTTAACCAGCTTATGAAAGTATGTAAGTTATGATTTTTAAAGATGAAAGCAATATGTTATATATATGCCTAGGAAAAGACTGGCAAGACATTCATCAAAATGTAAATAGTGGTATATCTAGGTAGTGGGGTAGTTTTATATCATATTTATTTCTTTAAGCTGAAATATACATGTTTTTCAGTGAGAATCTATCATGTTTTACAATGAGATTTTTAAAGCCAATATTAAGGTGAAAGGAAAAGGTAAAACAAGGGTAGGGGAAAAGTCAGGAATTAGGCTATGTGAAAAGAAGAGTTTCTTTTTCTATTGTGTAGAAGATAGGTAAGTTGTCAAAGATGGAATATGCACGCATGGATGTTAGCAGTATGTTTAATTCTACTGCAAGAAGCTAATGCATGATGCTCTCTTCAGAGGCTTCTGGTCACAGTCCCTTATTTCCAGGTCACTTGGCAGAATTCCTAGAGTCTCAAGTTTTAAGGAGCAAATAGTAGAAGTTCCTCCTTAGTGCCTCTGTTGTTTATTCTCTCGGGGGGAGTAGTCATTGATTTCTGTTAACTGTGATACAAAAAACCCACTAAGCACCTGGGGCTTCCCTTGCCACCCCCTTTCCATTTGTTAGGAAGCCTTCTTTAAGCTCTGAGAATATCTGTGGATTAACACAAGTCAGAAATTGTTTTCAGTATCACTCTGCAGACAGACATTTAGCAGGTGGGCAGTAGATCTGTTAATTTCCCATGGGAGAGGAAATTAACTGTCCAGCCTGGACAGGTTTTTGTCTGCCAGCTTTGAAGTTTGTCACATAGAGGAATCTTCCTCTTTCAGAATTTAGAAGGAACCACAGACAATTTAAGTGGCATTGAATATGCTTCCTTGTAAACTGTGGGCATCAAGCCAGGCAGAGTTGCAATAAGCTCTTAACTTTAGGCCTGACCCACTTGTAATGCTATGACAATGCCAAATGTGTGTTCTAAATGATGCAGTACTTACCTGAGACAGAGCATTCTGGGTAAAAGGTAAATGTTCCTTCTCAATGAATGATGAACGATGACATCTAGAATGATGATTAATTGAGAATACCACTCTGCTCAGTCTGGGGAATTTTATTCTGCATTTCATATGTATCATAAATTCAATATCAGAATCAATAAGATGATACACTCCTGAAGTGTAGGTTATCTAGAAAAATTTTAGGTGATTTTAAAAAAATATGCAAGCATATTTAACAACTGCTTTAGTATAATCTACCTAGATTGTTCTTCCTAGCTCTGCTTCCAAAGGGTATTGGACATGGAATTGTGAAAGCAGAGGTATGTGATGTAAAGGCAATGATATTCAGTAAATTCAAACACTAGATGGTTATATATTTGTTAAATATTTATAATAAATCTGTAATCAGAATTCTAACCATCTAGCTTCAGTGGGATGCAAGTGGGAACAACTTTATTCCTCTTCCCACTGAATATATTTATTTCAGCCATGTAAGAAGTCTTGGTTAGATCTCAGAGCTTTGCTGTGTCTTTTAGTCACAAGAACAGTCTCATTTCAGGATTTTAAAAGTCCTGATCAGAGTAATCATTTAAAATTTCTTACCTCAGGTTGGGCCTGTTTCAGGCTTGACAGCCTCCTTGCACCAGGGGGTGTATGGTACTGACACTCTTTGTCACCTGACTTCCTCTCCCACTCACTGGCTGCCCTTAGGGCCTTTTAGAGAAGAGCTGTAAGGGACTGGGCAAGTCTGAGTCACTGGTGCAGTTCCAACCTGCACTGCTACCCTCTGTTAGATGCATGATTGCTGACTCTCTCTTCGGATAAATCCTCTTAGGGACCTCTGGGTATAGTTCCTCTGATAGTCATGCCGCCCCTGGCTGGATGTTTTTAGCTGTCTTTGCAGCTCCTGGGTTTCTGGCTTTACACCCCACTTTTGGGATTACATTGCCTTGCCAGGTGGTCCTTTTGGGCATTGTCCCTTGTGAGATCATTCCTCCTGTGGGCCTGTATCCTGTCCATGAGAATTTTCTTGCAATTGTTGGAAGCATAGCCTGATCACAATGGAGTCCTCTAGGCTTTGCAATTCCAGGACAGTTAGCAAGCCACAATTTCCTGCCTTTAAAGTCAGATTTAAAATAGGTAGTAGTTATTTTTCTCTAACTCCAGGAGATGCATTTTTTTCAAATATTTCTCTCAGAGACACTCATTCCCTTCCAATTTGGTACCCTTGAGTAAGCTCTTTTGTGGTGTGAAGTAGGAGGTGGTACAGAATGTTCTAACCACTCTATCCTGAGTAGTCCTCTCTGGGGGTCTCATTACCTTCTCTTGTAGAGCCAAAAGCAAACAGTGGGCTCATGATGACAGAATGGCTTCAAATGAACCCTTGGCAAGTTCTGGTTTGGCACCTGTATCTGATAATTATTTTGTTTTTAGCCTTCAAGGTTTCAGCTAAAACGGAAAATTTCATTTGTTTTATATTTTTTAATTGATATGTCATAGTTTTACATATTTTTGAGGTACATGGGATACACAATTTCATTTTAAACATCTTGACTCAGTAGTATTTTTTTTCATTTAGGTGGCTGCATTAAACCTCATTTATGTGTGTGTTTGTGTGTGTGTATGTATAGGAAATGAAAGCATTCACAAATGTGGTAAACAAAGAATATAGAATTAAATTAATTTTATTTTTAATTAATTAATTAAATTAATTCAATTAATAGAATTAAAATATATAGATGCAAGATTTTAAGTGTCTTACATTTTTTAACTTGGGGATTGTAGTTCAATCAATGATAACTTCATTTTCTTTTTTCAATTCAAAGGATATTCTTATAATTGCTAGTTTAATTATTAGTTTGCAAGTACTTAAACCGAAACATCTTACTTCATCTTCCAAAACAGCTAGCAGTTCCCTTGTGTTTGCTTAATAAAATATTAATTACAAATATGTTAAGTAGCATGTCTGATATAAGGACTTTTTCCCTTAAAAATAAATACATAGTATCTCAAACTTACAGTATCTTAATAGGATAGAGAGGAATAAATATACCTTTACACATGTATAAGATTTGCTTTTTTGTCATTCTTGGCAGAGTCTGTACTGGAAGCCAATTTCTTTACCTTGACTTTCAACTTAGTGATCATTTTACTATGGCGGGTCACTCATGACTAATGTAATATAAGATATGTATGGGATTTTAATGACTAGTTTTAGCAGTATAAATGAGATTCTATTCACTTAAAGAAGAAAGTTAATATTATAAATTATCTGAGGTATTTTAATATGCAAGTCTTTTTTGTGTTTAGAATTTAAACAATACATTCTCATCTTCTACTTTTTTTCATAAGCATAACAAGGAACATGCATCCACACTTAGCAGCACCTCACATGTATGCAATCTGGGAGGTTCTTCCTAAGGAAAAGATTACAAATAAAAAATTAAACTCAAAAGTGAATATATATTTAGGATGAAATAGTCATAAGAATACAAATTTTAAAAAGCTGACAGATACTACAAAGAATAACAAATTCCAGAAAAATAACAAAAACATTTTTCCTCCTCCTTTGTTCACACACTTGTAGGGTGATCTGTAGTTCAGGTTCATATGCTGATACCACCTCTGGTGTGTCAACATCGTTATCTCATGGCAGACTGGGAGGTGGGTGTATTTCCAAAACATCCCTACATTGGGATGGCTGGCAATAACATACCTCAACATAGAAGTGACTGCAAACCAGGTAAATATGTTTTATTAAACCTAAACTACATGTATGTTCAGTGCAGCTCAACTTTCCCTTTGTTAGATCTCAAAAATGTTCATGCTTGCTCCAGTGTCGCCCAACACAAAGAGAAGTGCGATGGAGGAAAAAGGAGAGTGGAAAGAAATAGTGATCATAACTGATTACTGTTAAGATATCATGTTTTGCAACTTTTATGAAAACATATGAGTCTGTAAACATTGCTAAGGTCCTTTCAGGAGTCTGTGCATATGAAGGGCCCAGATGCCTAAGCTACTTTAGCTTCACAGTTACCTCTCAGGAGAACTCAGTCACAGAAAAATGAATAACAGCATGTTCCAGATGCTTTAAAGGAACCATAAAAAATCTGTGTTCTTTTACATTTCATTCCCTTTATTCTTCTAAATTGTTATCCAAAGTTATTCTTTTATCTCTATTTTTAATGTGTTAGTATTAAACTACCTAAGGAAAATTTTCCTGTGGAAAACCATATAAATATTTTATACTTTTCACTTTTTGTATAAATTCGTGTACTTAATTCTTAGGAAAAATGCTTAAGAATAACAAAATATGTTTATCATACCACAATAAGAAAACAAAAAAAGAAAAACAAAATCCCTGAAGTAAGTGTTCTCTTGTGTTACTGTACAACTGCCTGTAAAAATCATTGGGGCCACTGGAAAAAGATGGTTAAGGGTGGATTGTGTTTATCTTTTTTTTTTTGAGACGGAGTCTCGCTCTGTTGCCCAGGCTGGAGTGCAGTGGCGCGATCTTGGCTCACTGCAAGCTCTGCCTCCCAGGTTCATGCCATTCTCCTGCCTCAGCCTCCCGAGTAGCCAGGACAACAGGCGCCCACCACTGTGCCCGGCTAATTTTTTTTTTTTTTTGTATTTTTAGTAGAGATGTGTTTATCTTTAGTATGCCTTGTTTCCATTCTGGGTCCTTCTAATCTCTAGATAGCCAAAGCTTGAAGGATTTTAATACAAAGTGTCTCAAGTGACTTAGCTCTATTATGCCTAAAAGTCAAAATGGAATTGTGCAGCAAATTTCTCACAAGCAAAATTACATCTAAGGAAAGTACTATTTGATTGTAGACTGAGGGTAGAGTTAATATATTATACAAAATTTATCTCATCAGTCCTCTATAATAGTATAATTGGAATAATTTTATATGAATTAAATTATTGATATACAATTAAAATAAAGATATAGACAAATTTAAACCTCTTTAATTCTTAACATGCACCAACTAATATCCTTATAACTTGTGGTTTATATAAGGGCTTGTTACTTACAATATTAACAATCAGTTGAAACATCATAGTTTTTTATTTATTTATTTATTTGTTTGTTTATTTATTTATTTTTTGAGACAGAGTCTTGCTCTGTCAGCCAGGCTGGAATGCACTGGCACAATCTTGGCTCACTGCAACTTCCGCCTCCTGGGTTGAAGCGATTCTCCTGCCTCAGCCTCCAGAGTAGCTGGGAGTACAGGCCCACGCTACCATGCCCAGCTATTTTTTGTATTTTTTGTAGTACAGACGGTGTATCACCATGTTGGCCAGGCTGGTCACGAACTCCTGACCTTGTGATCTGCCCACCTGGGTCTCCCAAATTGCTGGGATTACAGACGTGAGCCACCACACCCAGCCATAATAGTTTTAAATGGTACTGTTGACAGATGGTCATCTGTTCTGTGTGAACTCTGTCTGATACCATGTGTCCTAATGCCATCTGGAAGTTTTGATTTCCTCCTTTGGACAGGTCTTGACTCTGACCTACTGAGTACTGCTTGGATCCTCTTTCTCCTGAAGGTACATGTCCTGGCTATCTGGCCATTCTGCATACCACTCTCCTCTTCTTATGCTTCCTGGTTTACTCCTCCTGCCTAAATCCTCTGGTGACCTTCATAAGACATGTTTCATATCTTGGAACATGCAGTGAGTGATATAGCCATGTTAACAGAATGACAGACACACAGACAGACAGACAGAGGCACTCTCGTGAAAGGAAGACAGCAACACCATCACAGAAGGTATGAAAACTGAGGGGAGATCGCTAATGTCAGGTAGAGCTACGAAGGGTATAATCAGAGTTTCCTGCCCATCTCCTTCCTTGATCTTCCAAAGGAAATCTACAGTCCACCAACAGTCTCCATTCAATACTATACCTCCTCCAGTGTACCTGTTCTACACAATTATGCTCCCACTTTTCCCCTTCCCAAGGGATAAAAGCTCAATTCAGATTCCCCTTAGCCCATCACCTAGAAGTAGTATAAGGCTTAGTAAGAGGCTCTCTTGAAACTTCTATTAGGTCTTAGCAGAGTATGCCCATCTCCTTCTTAATAGCTATGTAGATAGTTTATATAATCAGACATTAAATAAACATTTATATGAAAATATTTTATATAAATTAGGATTCACTATAGTTTATAATTTTAAAAGGACTACAATAGGTTGTATCTTCACTTAAATTGCAACTGAACAAGAGCCCTATAAAATGTAGATTTTGCTTTACATTTTCATAATTTTGTGTAAAGCATTTTTAAATAACATATATAATGTTATATCTCTGAATAGATGCCATTATTGTTGTGGAAGAGGGAAAATAATTTCTTCTGTAGGACAACATAAGAATGGTGCCATCAAATATCAATATTTATTCCTTTACAGTCCTGTGAAAGAGAATAAATATATTATACAGCAGCTCCCTCTTAAACAATTTTATGATAAACTATTAATCAGAAGAGATGTTTCAGATATGCAAAATGGATGAATAAAAGAATATAGTAAGTTTATAGATAAAACCGAACAATTTTATTTATTTACAAATTTTACACTCAGACAAATAATAGTTTTTTCTATATTATTTTTGAGATGTTTAGCATATACTATAAAACTGAATAATTGTGAGTTTTTGTCCGTATTTTACTGTATTCAGTTTGTCTCTTTCTGACCATAGATACCAGTGGTTCTCCCACTATTTCTGTTATCGGTGGCCTGGAGGGCATAATCATATGATTTTATGAAAAACAGTTATTTTTATAATAGGATACATGTAAAATAAATAATTTTTATGGAATTAATATAATTTTTAATGTAGCTTTTAGGAATTTAGTTCTTTTAAAGTTGGACACATTTTTAGCAATAATAATGATAATAGTGTTGACACTATAATTTTTTGAGGACCTCTTTTGTTCCAGATACAGTGCCTGGTGCTAGGTATTTTATGCCCATGTTATGGAAGGAGCTTTGGAAAGGTCAAGTAACTTGGACACCTAGCTAGTAGTTAGTGGTAGAACCAGGATAGCAATTCTTGTCTGCTTCACTCTGAAGCCAGAGGTCTTTCCATTTCTCTGGCTTGTCTCTTACAGTGTGTCTAGTGTTCTACAAAATTAGGGACCTTCGTTATGGGTTTTTATTCCTCTGTAGTCAGTTGAAAATTCCATTTTCCTCCGTAGATGAAACTGCAGAATGAAGGTAAAATGAAGTAGAGGCTTGGTTCTTTTTTCACGTAATTTTTTTTTTCAAATGTTGGGGTTGAGCTTCTCCACAAGGAAGCCATGGTTTCCAGGCCATATAGAATCAAGGTTGGACTCACATCATAATTCATAATCTACATTTGTATGAGCTTCCAGCACAGAATAGACTTTCAAAAAGTTTCACTTCTAAATTAAGATATAGAAACTTTCATTCAAAATTAAGATGTAGGAATTTTCAGCATCTATATCTAATTCTACTTTGCCATGAAAAGAAGAACAATCATCCTATATAGTTGTAGGATCTTACTGATGCTTCCAAGGCATAGTGGGCAGCAGAAGGACTGGTCCCTAATGTCAGAAAGATTCTAGGTCAAATAGTTAAAAATTCAAATTTATGACACAATGACATAGCATAGTTTTGTAATATTTAATTATGAATTTTTAAAACTTTTTGTTAAATGGATATGACAGCTTTAAATTCATATACATCCTGTTCAGGTTTTGTAGTCAAATGGCCCTTTCCTTAGCCCCTTCTACCTTGCAGTCTGTTCTTAAATGTGACCTACTTAAATGGATAGATTCTATATTCTTTCTAGAGAAATGCCTCATTCAGTGAGACATAATTTCTCTAACAAGAAAAATGCATTCACTGTGTAATTCCAAAACCTCCAGGAAGAAGGCCTCTGAGTAGCTACATTATAGTGCTCCGGAATCCATGCACTAAAAAGTGCATCTTTCTTTAAGAGAGGATCTCTAGGTTCTCACTTCCAGCTTATTTATGATTATATTTTTAAGCTTTTGTTTTCTCTATTTCTCCGTTCACAGCAATTGTGAAAAAAGAAGGGGCATCCATCCTTCATTCATTTATTCAGTCAACAAACATTTATTTAAGGCCTGTTATGTGCCCCTGAAACTGTTTTATGTACTGGAGCCATTCACAGCACTAACAGCTGACAGCAATAACTCATGAAGAGATTTTTTAAAAAAATGTAATAAGCAGATGCAACAGTATAAAACTTCAAATAGTTTAGGTACATTTAGTATTATCTTCCCCTATTCTGAGAATGAGTAGCCAGCCAGGTTTCTTCCAGAGGGGCAAGTAGAATGTCTCTTACTCGAGGCTGTAGTTTCTTGGAAATGAAACAAATGTGAAAAATTTCAAAATCGAGTTGGGTTGGCTGTAGTAAGGAAGCCAGGGAGGCAAAATTAACCTGCCCTCAAAAACAGATCTGAGGCATTGATCTCAAACTGGAGCATAAGGCCAGGAAAGGTCAGGACTAAAGAGATAAGAATAGGGAACACAGCAGCTCAGCAGCTCAGCAGCTTAAGCTGACAAGCCGAAAGGCCAGCAAGGTAAAAATTAGTGATAGAGCTGGATTTTAAACATTCCATTTTTCATGCTCCCATGGGCAACTCCTCTGTAATTTTGATATAAGATTATTTTGGGAGTGGGATTCTCTTTGTGGGGAAGGGGAGTAGAAGAATTAAACCTTCTCGGCCATGGCAAATTCAAGCCTTCCTTAGGTTTTATGCTTATATGTGTGTGTGCCTGCGTGTGCGTGTGTGTGCATGCGTGCGTGTGTGTGCATGCATGTGTGTGTATTTGTTGGGAGGGGCAGTAACTGACCAATTATGACAGAAGGCAACCCCTCCTTTTGCCCAAATCCCTCCCTTGGCATTTGGTAGGTGGTGCAGGTACCTGTGGGTTTTCACACCTCTGTAGCCTCTGAGGACTTCACTGGATTACAGGAGAGTAATAATTAATGCTAATAATGAGGACTCAGTGGTGTCAAGAAAGATGAAATTCTTTTATATATGTCATTCATGTAAGAAAGCAATGACTGTTAGATCTTCCCCCAACCCCCCAACAAGGTTAATATTTTAATGCTTGGGTATTTGGAGGAGTAAATAAGTACTTTTGAAATTTGCTTATTGATAAGAGCTTATTCTCTGATATTGCCTGAGTAGATATATTGTTGCTTTATGTAGCTTTAGTGATATTTCTATCGTTGAGTGAAAGTGAATCAGGGCTAGCACTTTAATTTGCATTTGTGATCAGGATTATTCTTTTGCATAAAGATTAAAATTTGATTTGGAACAGGAGTCAAGGATTTACTTCATTAGGTCTGAATTCACATTTTCCACCTCATTTGAAATAAAATATTTTGTAAGTTAAAATATATCTTAGCTGGGAAGCAATGTTATAACAACATTTCACCAAAATTCTTGAGAAATGTTTTAAAATCCAAAAGTCTTTCTACTGGTAATATTATTCCCCCGCTGACTTCATGTCAAAACCAAATGATGATGTATTTTCCTTAAGGCATTGTTTATATGGCAGGTCTTCAACCATATATTACTAACAGTTTGTACCTTATCAGACCTGACAAGATTACAGCCTGAAGAGTTATATTTTGATTCATATAAGAGTATGGACTTGAGCTTCAAAGGAATAATAAGGCCAAACTATTATAGTTCAAGGACTTTAATAAATATTAAATGATAAATAAGGCTGGTTCCACACTGGCTTCAGGGCCTGTGGATAATAAAAGAAAATCTTCAAATGGTGCCAAACAGTATTATGGCTGTCTTGCCTTTTATAATCTGTCTTTACTGCTTGCCACTGTAGTTGTCAGAGCTGGGAATGATGAGGTAGCATATGTAGTTTTTGTTGCTGACAGAATTAAAAGTAAAGGAGACTTTAAAAGTAATCCATCTCTGTAGCAGGATAAATACAGAAATGTGCTTTTTGGTAATACTGTAGTAGGTATTTAATCACTCCTCACCTGCCTACTCTCTCTAAAAGTCAGGTTGTGGACTTGATGTTAAATGTGAAACATACCAGGTGATATGCATTTTCATTATTGTTAATTTCTAGTTTTAATGGAAACTAGAATTTACTTATATCATCATGTTTGGGATGTCAAAACATGTCCCAGTGGGAGAGTGCAGAATGCCTATGATTCATAGAAGATCACTAAGTTATGTGATTATATGGAGGAAAAGTAAATGAAGCTGCTTTTCAAGAGAAAGCCCATCAGTACTATTGTTATAAAGTCTACTGTGGGCTGGGCACGGTGGCTCATGCCCATAATCCCAGCACTTTGGGAGGCTGAGGAGGGTGGATCACCTGAGGTCAGGAGTTTGAAACCAGCCTGGCCAACATGGTGAAACCACATCTCTACCAAAAATACAAAAATTAGCTGGGCATGGTGGCAGGTGCCTGCAATGCCAGCTACTTGGGAGGCTGAGGCAGGAGAATTGCTTGAACCCGGGGGGTGGAGGTTGCAGTGAACCAAGATTGTGCCATTGCACTCCTGCCTGGTTGACAAGAGCAAAACTCTGTCTCAAAAAAAAAAAAAAATCTACTGTGGCAGACAAATTCTAAGATGCCCTAATAATCCTGCCTCCTGTTGTTCATGCCCTTGTACATTGAAATTGGGCCAGCCTAGGTTTTTTTTTCTAACCAATTGAATATGGAAAACATGATGGGATATCACTTCTGTGATTAGGCTAAATAAGATAATGACCTGCCCTTTTGCTTACCATACTCTTCCCTTTGGTGACTTTGATGAAACATGTTGCCATATTGGCACATGCAAGGAACTGAGGGCATCCTCCAGCCAACAGCTAGCTAGGAACTCAGACCCTTACCTCAACAAGTCCTGTAGGAACTGAGTACTGCCAACAACTATGCCAGCTTGGAAGCAGATCCTTCCTCAGTCAAGATTTCAGATGAGACCCCAGCCGTGGCTGACACCTTGATTGCAGCCTGGTGAGAGACCCTAAAGCAAAGGGCTCAGTTAAGATATGCCCAGGTTCCTGACCCACAGAAACTGTGAGATTATACATATGCATTGTTTTAAGCTTCTAAGTTTGAGGTGTTGGACACATAGCAATAGAAAACTGATACATTAGATGTATTAGTTTGATAGGGCTACCACAACAAAGTACAACAGACTAGGTGGCTTAAATAGCCAATTGTGAGAAATTTATTTTCTCACAATTCTGGAGGCTCAGAAGTCTAAGATGAAGGTGTCAGAAGCGTTGATTTCTTCTGAGGCTTTTCTCCTTGGCCTTGTAGATGCCTGTCTTATCCTCGTCTCTTCACGTGATCTTCCTTCTGTGTGTGTCAGTGCACTAGTCCCCTTTTCATATATGGACACCAGTCATATTAGATTAGAGCCCACAATAATGACCTCATTTTAACTCAGTCACCTCTTTAAACATTCCATCTCCAAATACAGTCACATTCTGTGGGAACTGGAGATTAGGATGGCTTCATATGAATTTTATGGGGAAACAACAGTTCAGCTCATACGATAATTTTTTTATAGTTATGTTTATCTCTATAGCAAAAACTCTGTAGAACTTACTGTCTGTAAAGGTCTTTTGCTTCCTTTTTATTCTTTATTTTAATGTAATTATATATTTTTCAGATGATTTATATATATAAAAAAATCACATAGTTCAGCACATATATTTTCATATCCCTGTCTCCATAACAAAATTCAAATCTCTGTTTAAGTATATGTCTTTCATGTACTTTATTATTATTATTATTATTATTATTATTATTTTTAGACAGAGCCTCCCGCTGTCACCCAGGCTGGAGTGCAGCGGCACGTTCTTAGCACACTGCAACATCCATCTCCCGGGTTCAAGTGATTCTTCTGCCTCAGCCTCCTGAGTAGCTGGGATTACAGGCACCAACCACCACACCCGGCTAATTTTTGTGTTTTTTTTGGTAGAGATGAGATTTTGCCATGTTGGCCAGGCTTGTCTTGAACTCCTGGCCTCAAGCAATCCACCCGCCTCAGCCTACCAAAGTGCGGGGATTACAGGGGTGAGCTACTGTGCCCAGCCTCTTTCATATACTTTAGGTATAACACTTTGCAATATTTATGGTATTGCTGTTAGAGGCATTTTCAAAATCTACCTTTACTTTTTGTGTTTGCTTGCATACTTCTAAATAAGTTGGAAGTAGCTTGTCTTAAGAATAAGTACTTGTTAAAAAGATAGGGAGTTTGAAGAATTTACATTTATTTGAAGTAGGTATAATTTTAGATAATGGTAGGTCCAGAGAGTATCTATCTTTGTATTTGGGAATCCAGATATAATGGAGATACACTGTTAGAGCCTATCTAATGCTGGGCTGATTTATTAAGACACTGTTTTTTGACACTTTGAGTTATTAATAGCACTATACGTGTTTAAAATATTTTTCTAAATGGCCAAAAAAAATCTACATTATATACATTATATACAACAGTTCATTATAGCACAGACGAGTGGTTTTCAGAGTGTGTCTGCAGACCCAGGGAGTGCCAGAAACTCTCTTAGGGGATCTTCAAGGTCAAAACTATTTCCAAACTAAAACTAAAACATTATTTTCCTTTTATTTAAAGAAGTGTTGACATTTTTATATGTGTTGACATGTGTTGCATCATAAATGCAAAAGAAATAGTGGATGAAATTGCTGGAGGCTTTGCATTAATCGAGGCAGTGGTGTTAAACTACTGGCATTTGTATTTTAAAATAGGGATAATATTGCCAATATAAGATGGTGGTTGTAAGATTTAAATCAGATATTTTGTGTATAAGTTTTCAACTAATGACCACTATACACTGCTACCCTTATCAGCAACATGTGTTTCTACCATATTTTTGTCTTCTCTCTATGATTTATTTTGTGTTTTGATGAGTCATTTTGGTTATATTTATGTTTATAGGTACCTCCACCAAAAAATCAAAGAAGAATATTAAGATAATTCTTAAAACACAAGTCTATAGTGTTTCATGTTTCTTCAAAGAAATGGTTAGGGAAACATAGAAAGGTAAAGATGAGCAAGCAATTAGGGATTTTTGGAAATCTTTGATATTAGGAAGAGCATCATATACCTAGGAAGTTGAGCCAACAATTGTAAGGAGAATGGTTAACAGAACATATGACTGAACAGAGAACATTCTCCATTAGGGATAAAATATAATTACCTGACTTAGCACTTATTCCATTGGCAATTCAATTTCCATATATGCATCCTCTGCTCTAAATTGGTATGTCTATACTGGGTTATTTAACTTATTACAATAATATATACTTGATGTAAAGATGAGAAAGAATAGTATTGTTTTGTGCAATTTCCACTATTTTCCCGAAGTCTAAATCTAGCACTGTTCTATACTGCACTCTGTCAAGCATCAAGTCAGTGAAAAATAAAATTAGATTGTTGAACTATGTGCTATTCACTTAATTCTAAATTTGAATTATCATTGTTTCAAAATGAAATCAAAGGATAAGTAAATGCAAAGGCCTTTTGTCATTTTGTTATGCTGTTTATTGTGTTTTATTATTTTTTGCTTTATTTTTGCCTTATTCTGTTTTTTTTTTTAACAGATCATCAGAAACTAGAAAGAGAAGCTAGAATCTGCCGTCTTTTGAAGCACCCTAATATTGGTGAGAACGTATTTTTAATGTTTTTTAAATGTTAATTTAAAATTTTATGTTATTTACCACAATAAAAATGCTAATTTTATAATCTAGAATATTTATAACTTTTAAAAAATAGGTTCCTAACTTTCAATCTTGGTTACATTTGATACCTCAAAGTTTTCCTGTGTTTGCTGTTTGTTTTTTGATGCAATCTTTGAAGTAGAAATGTGAAAAATTAAGTTTGTGGAAACAAAGATACTAAATTAATTAATAGTGTATGTTTTCTGTTGTGCTGAAAGTTGTGTACCAACCAGTGGAAAACCTGAGTGTAATTTAAAGAATAAATAAATAAATTTAGGTAATCCCTGGTTATATTAGCTTTATTTTAACCACATAATTTGGAGTCTGCTATGTTAATGAGTTCAATGTCCTTTCTGTAGAGTCGTATAATGAAAACAATAATCCTTTACCTAATTGGGAAAATAGTTGTGAAGGTAAAAATGAAACAAGTATAACAATTTTTTGAAAAGTTATATATATAGTTTTTCAAAAGGTTGTGATTATGTATAAACACTTCAAAAAATAATATAAGGTCTCATTTGAATAGTGCTTTTATGTGTCTTTAAGAATTGTTCAGCTACAGGCCGGGCGCGGTGGCTCATGCCTGTAATCCCAGCACTTTGGGAGGCCGAGGCGGGTGGATCACGAGGTCAGGAGATGGAGACCATCCTGGCTAACACATGAAACCCCGTCTCTACTAAAAATACAAAAAAATTATCCGGGCGTGGTGGCGGGCGCCTGTAGTCCCAGCTACTCGGGAGGCTGAGGCCAGAGAATGGCTTGAACCCGGGAGGCGGAGCTTGCAGTGAGCTGAGATTGCGCCACTGCACTCCAGCCTGGGACGAGAGAGCGAGACTCTGTCTCAAAAAAAAAAAAAAAAAAAGAATTGTTCAGCTACTGCTGCTGAAGTATGGAAAGACAGGATTTATGTCATCACTTTACTCAGCTAAATTACATTCCATATATCCTGTAGAAAGTTTACTTTAGGCCAGGTGCGGTGGTTTACGCCTATAATCCCAGCACTTTGGAGGGGTGAGGCAGAAGGATCGCTTGAACCTAGGAGTTTGAGACCAGCCTGGGCAATATGGCAAGACCATATCTCTACAAACTATTAAAAAAATTAGCTGGATGTGGTAGTGTGCATGTATGGTCCCAGGTACTAGAGAGGCTAAGGTGGGAGGATTGCTTGAGCCCAGGAGGTTGAGGCTGCAGTGAGCCATGCACTTCAGACAGCCTGGGTGACAAAATGAGACCTTGTCTCCAAAAACAAAAAAGTTTACCTTATAGTTATTGATTTGATTCTAGAAATAGTAAAAGGACTTTAGAATATTTATCCCTCATGAATTATAAAATTGCATGACTTTTCAAAATTTTTAAAATGTGATGAATATAAGAAACAAGAAAAACACAGGAAAGAAAAAGTAAATTCAGAAATATGTGTAAACTGGATTCTGTGATAATAGGTTTGATTATTTTGGAAAAATGTTACTGTCCCAGCTCCCTCAATTTTATTGTTAACCTAAGTATTTCTGATCTAGAAGCAGTGAGAAAAGGGGTAACAGTGATGTAGAATTTGCAAAATCTTTCACTGAAAAGTTTACAGGTGTTTTAATTTTATGTGTAGGGGCATTCAATTTCTATTCCTGCTTTGATGTTTTTAGTATTCTGCACTTAGTGGGTGCATCTTAGGGTCTTAAATGAATGGATACTATGGGTAAAAAAAATTGTAACACTGGCAAATTCACCTATATCATTCACTCACTCAACAAGTTACATTTCTAGGTGTATAGTAGGAACAAAACATACTGCCAGCTGATTAAAAGGAACCTTCTGGTTTGAGGAGAGAACAAAACAACTCTGACATATAAATCTACCTCTCTAGAAGCATTTTACTCTGACAAAAATTTATGGCATTTCTTGTTTGGCTGTATTGGTTTGCTAAGACTGCCAGTAAGAGAGTACCACAGACTGGGTGGCTTAAGCAACAGAAATTTATTTTCTCATAGCTCTGGAAGCCAGAAATCTAAGATGAAGGTGTTGTCAGGTTTGGTTTCTTCTGAGACCTCCTTCCTAAGCAAGTAGGTGGCTGTCGTCTCACTGTGTCTTCACATGGTCTTCCCTCTGTATAATGTCTGCGTCCTCATTTCTTCTTGTAAGGACACCAGTCATATTGGATTAGGGCCCACACTGATAACCTCATTCTCACCTAATTACCCCTTTAGACACTCTATATGCAAATAATACAGTCACATTCTGAAGTGTGCTATCAGGATTAGCATATCAACATAGGAATTTGGGGAGGACATCATTTGCCCACAACATTGGCTAAAGAGAAATTACGCAATGAACCACTATAGTTCAAAGATTACTTCTCTTGCTCAGGTTTAAGATAAAATCAAATCTTTGTTTAGTGAAGTTGCAATTCCTGTGCAGAAAGTTGTTATTTGTTTGTTTTGGTTTGGTTTGGTTTGTATCAGGTCCTCCTATGAAACTCAATTTTTGTGGATAATGAAACTAGTTTCCTCCATTTCCTCTAGGATACCAAAGTCAAACACTCGAAAAACTGCCAAGCTAAAACAAGAACTCTTTTCATTTTGACACTACATACAGACTAAACTTATAAAAAGAGAAAGAATGCTGGGGAAAGTTCTAAACTTTTGTGTCCTAGATAGCATTGTCAACACCTTCTGACACAGTGTACATCTTTTTGCGAGGATCCATAACAGCCAAATGTCATAATTCCTTGGTTACCTCACTGGAGGTTTTCTTTAACCTTTTAAGATTTCAGGAGTACAAAAGGAACTGTGACAATTCTAGGTCCTTGAACCCTAGGACCCATTTCTAACCACAAGAGAGATTTCGAGTGATCCTTTATCTCAGTGTATAAGTCATAGATGGATTAAATTTATGAGACATAATCTCAAAAATTGTAACACTGGCAAATTCACCTGTATCATTTACTCACTCAACAAGTTACATTTCTAGGTGTATAGTAGGAACAAAACAGACCAATATCCCTGCCCTCATGGAGCTTGCAGTTTTGGGGGAGACAGGCAGTAAACAAAGCATTGGATATTAGATGGTGATAATTGTTGAGGAAAAATAGGAAGCAGAGAGGGAAATACTGGGTGTTGGGGTATTCCAGTTTTAAATAGTTGGTCAGGACCATTTCATAGAGAAGGTGAAATACATTTGAATGCAGACCTAAAAGAAGGGAGGAAGGAAGTCATTTGGCTCTCTGGGGGAAAAACAAACAAGCAAACAAACGAAAAACATTGTAGGCAGAGGGAACCAATAGCCTGCATAAGGGCCCTAAGGTCAGTAGATTCCACCAAAGCTTTTTATCTAATGAGAGAAATAGGAGATGAGTTCTTTCTCATTTTATCTTACCTTAATTGATGAATCTCCATGACATGTAATCTGACAGTGTTGTGTTTATTCATGTAAAGAACGATTTTAAAACATCAATAACAACAGTGACTGTCATAAAATAGTAAGCAACAGCCAACAAAGGAGGAGTGTTTTAAAGACAGATGCCATAAGTGGACATCTGCAAATGCATTGGAGAGTAGTTGACCCAGGGTGTAAGGAAAGTACTGCAGTTCCTGTCGATCATCGCACTAGTTAACAGCACCACATGAATCACTAGTACTCAATCATGACTGAATCATATTACACAGGGAAAACAGCATTTGCTCTTGATTTCCCTGACATAGGTAATATGATATCTAAGTAATATCAGACTCTTATCCTCTTCTCCCTGTTCTCTATTTTATTATTTCCTTGGTTTTAAAATCAGCTAGGCTTTAGAACTTTAAGGAAGGAAATAACTATTTTTGACCATTTTTTCCCCTGTGAAAATGTGCTTGTTTCATTTTTATATTTGAATGTGTCTTTCTCTTGGCACAGAATCAATAATCTTGAAAACTTGCAGCAAGCAAAAGGTTTCTTCCAAAGAAACACATTTTAAACCAACTAAAAATGGTGATTCATTAAACTACTTTTTTTCATGTGTTATTTTTTATGTTTTTCTGACCTTAAAAGTAATACTGTTAGTGGAAAATTTGGAAAATACAACATTGTATAAAGAAGAAACCTGAGGGCTCAACTTTTAATATTTGATTTATTCATTTTTGCCTTTTTATAATCTTATATATATATGCTAATTTTCAGCATTCTCTTGTGTGCATTTTCATACCCCTTTAGATATATCATGAAAATGGTCTCACCCAACAAAATTTCTTGAGTGTGTAGCCATTGCCAAGCTTTGTTCTAGGCTATATGCACTGGTGATGAAACAGTGATTGAGAGAGACAATGGCCCTCTTTTCCCAAAGCTTTGCATCCTAGTGTATAAACAAAACACCATAATAATGTCGTAAGGATTTGTTCTATGCAGAGAATTAAAATAGGGTAATTTGATACCAGGGGACCGGGTGGCTACTATCAAAAACAAACAGAGCCAGACACCAGTTAAAGCCGATACAGATTTTATTTTGTACTATTGCAATTGAGGAAAGAACTGAACTTCATTCCAAACACAGCAATGACAGCTGGGGATTTATAGTCAAGGAGCAGAGTGAGGGGGTCAGTGGATGGAAGATTTTTAAGAGGAGACATCAAGGATAGGGAGTTGCTGAACTGGACTAACAAGATTCTTGCTAAAGGCAGGCCAAGGACTTAGACATTAAGGGTAGAGGATGAAGACCTTGATGAGATATCAAAGGTGGGAAATCACTTCGTAGGATTCTTCATTTAGGCTGGCTTAGGAAGGTTAGGGACATTGTCCAAGGATGAGATCTAGTTGAAAAGAGGAACCTGCCTGATGTTTGGTTAGGGAGAGAGTCTTGGTCACTGCTTTAGAGCGTTTTGTCAGGCAAGATATATCTATGGAGGTCACATTTAAACTGATATCTAAATGACAGGTGGAAGCCATCATGAAAAAGAGAAAAGAGTTTCAGGCACAGAGAGCCCTCCTTGTTAGGGGAAAAGTAGGGAAACCAGTAGATGGACTGCCATGGGGGAAAGGGAGTGACTGAACAGGGCAGGTAGATATTTAACCAAGTAGGGTTTCGTTAACCAGATTTGGGAGTTTGGGTTTCATTCTACATGCAATGGGAAACCAATAGTGGGATTTTAAGCAAAAGTGTATCATAATCTGCTTTGCTGTGTCTGCTATGTGTAAAATGGTTTCCTAGTTACATGAGCACAATCAGTGATAATAGTGTTCAGTCAGGATATCAGAATCTAGTCTTATCAGCCTAGTACCCCTGAACTACATCTTCTTGGATAAGAATTTAAACAGCTCCAGGTTGGTTCTCTCTTTGGTGTGGTCCACATGATCCAAGAAAGCACCATGCATCTTTTGGCTCAACAAATTGTAGAGTACAGCCCGTTTTTAAAGAAGCTCCATCTTTGCTGTGCTCTAGCCAGGCAATTTTTGTTTGAACCTCAAACTGGAAAGATTATAGCTGACATTAAGATGTTGAAGCAATTTGAGGAGAACACCTTACTTTGTGCTTAGCTTAGTTAATGTTTGATCATTCTGTTCACCTTTTATTTTAATAAAATTGGCTTATTTTTCTTTGAGGAATTAACAAATTTGTTGTAAGCCAGAAATTCTGAGCTATATGTCAACATATGTATCAAATAAGTAAAAGAAAAATACCTTTCAGGTATTGAAATAAAATATTTGAGGTGATAGCCAAATTCTCAAAATTATTTGATATTCATACTGTTTTTATTCTTGGTCTTTGATTTGAGGAATTTATTTAAACTTATGGTGAAGCTCAGATAACAAACAATGGTAAAGAGAAAATAGGAAAACAGGAAAAAAATTCATTTAATTCAACCATAAGAGTCCAAAAACAGCTGGGCCAGGAAAGGAAAAGAAAAAATATTGAGAACTTTGATCTGACTTATCTGATTGTCCCAAGAGAGAAGATATTCATGTATGGGCCTTTATTTGGGAAAAGATCAATATTTGAGACAACTTTGCAGTTCATGGGATGATGAATTCTGTTGCCGGGTTGTCCCATTCCCTAAAGACTTGTGTTTACATTTTGTGTAGACTTTAGAAAGAGCAAGGTAATTTTTTGAAAGTTTGAAGCAACATTTATATTTGTAGATTAACACTATCTTTATAAGGTAAGCGTTTCCCATTATAATATGGCTTAATGAACTTCAGCAGCTAGAGAGCAAATGGAAGAGCTATGTAACCTTTTGAATCTAGTCTTTAGTGATACCCTGGAACCCCTAGTGCAGGGAATGAATTAACCTTTCTAGATCACGTCATAGCTCAATGATTACCTCCTCTCTACTGGCTTTCCTACCCACTACCCCAAAATGCATAAACACACTCACTCATACACTACAAAGTGTAACAGATAATAAGAGGCATAGTGTTAATGGAAAGCTCTATAGATTCACTGGGCCACAGTTTATTCTCCTTCTGATGCTGGCCTGCTCTGTGATCTGCTTATACAATCCCATCCACTCACCAAGTTCTAGTTCCTCTCTTTGTAAAGCAGAGAAAATATTTGCCTTTTTTATTTCCTTCCAAGAATCAATAGAATGAGGTAATGCATCTTACTTTGGTGAGGAGTTAATATATTTTGTAAGACGATTAATTTAAATAAACAGTTGAGTACATTATTATGGGGTACTGCTTACCAAGTAGTAACTAATTAATTCATTTCTTAGCATTTAGTAGTGTCTTTCTGAGATGTGCGTATTCAACAATGGGGAAATATATTTCAGAAACTTTCAAATATCATATATTCTATATGATATATATGTTGTATATAGTATATAATATATGATATGTATTACACATAATCAGATAATTGTAATATTGCAACAGCAGATCCTATACATTATCTAGCATAAACTCTAATTTTTTTGTTTTAATATTTAGGAGAGCTAAAATTTTCCAAATGTATATGATTTGTCCAAAGTCACAGTTCTTTAATGATATTGCCAGACCTAAATTGTTGATTGCTTCTGTAAAGAGATGGCGATGTTTAGGGAACCTAACTTGAAGCAGCAAGATTGAAAAAGCAATGTTTTTGTTCCCTTTTGAGGAGAGTTTTGAGGTTGTTTTTGGTTCAAATCGATTCCTCCCCTCACATAAGATAAACATTAACTAAAAAACTTTCAATATTAATACAGGAAGAGAAAGCCTTTACATTTTAGACAGCATAAGTTACAGCTACCTACCATATATATTAGCCCTGGTATAGAACCAGTGTGTTTAAGAAAGATGCTCTGCTTAAAGATGATTTATTGTTTCACATATATAACAGTACATAAAATTTCATGTGCTGACAGGTGGAGATTAAAGAATATATAAGAGCCTTTACTTTCTATAAAAGCATGTTTCCCATTCCTATGAGTAATAATGGCATTTAGGATCTATATAATTTTCTTTTCCTAAAATTTAAAACTGGAAGAGCTCTTAGGAATTACCTAAGACCAACCTAGATTCTACAAATTGAAGGTTTAAGTAGTGAAGTAATATGCCCAGGATCATACCCAGATCTAAAAAGAGATGAAAAACACACAATCTGTGTATTACTTCGTTTAGCACGTAGTGTTTCTTCTTTTTGGTGACTTTGGAGATATGATGTCATCCTGTAAAAGTAATATTTTAACCACAATCTTAGATCTCCCTAGTTTTCACAAGAAATTTTTCGCTCAAATACCATTCCTCAAGTTTTTATGAAATAAATTAACTGTCATTTTTTGTTTGTTCTTTTGTCTTTAGCAGATGATTTTAACCATAAATTTTGCCTTTTTATCCTTCTCTGCATGCAGTTGTCTTCTAGGTTCCTCAGGTTCTGTAAGGAACCCATACAATCACATTGTACAGGTTAAGCTTACTAAATATTTCTCTTAAATATACCCAGTATTTACTTATAAATGAGTAAATTGCCTTATGTGTTTATTGTACCAATATTCCAGTTTTTGAACCCTTGGAAACAAAATCACATAGGAAAGAAGAGTAGAGTTAATGCAGAGTAAATGTTAATTGATCTACTGAGAAAACAAAGTTAATAGTTTTATGAATGACAATTAAAAGTCTTTTTCAATGGCATCAGAAGTTGAGCAACAGTCTAAGAAAGCGACGCAGTTTTTTTCTGTGACCTCTCCCTTATTGATGGTTCTGCCTAAAAATTAGAGTAGTTTGTAATCAAACAAGAGTAAGTAATTTTTCTTGTTAACTACTTTCTCTAGTGACTCTCTAACAGATTAAAAGTATTTTAATACTATTTAGTAGCAAAAAGCAAATTATCTTATTTTATATTTACCTTATTTGATTAAATCTCAGCTCTTTATTATGATTATTTGGTGAGAAGGCCAAATTACTTCTTAGAATATATAACAGTCTGCAAAATTGATTATTCTCTTTTAATAAATGTGAGAACTAGCACAGCGATATATTTTTCTCTTCAAATAAATATGTTCAAAAAATTCTAATTATCTGTTTTAGCTTTTTTTCCTTTGTTTATACAATATGGTGCCAGTTATGTATTCTTTATAATTCTTGGTAGAAAGTTAAATTTATCGTCTTTTTAAGTAAATGCTTATTTTACTAAAAAGACAAAATTTGAATATAAAAATTGTATATTCAAGATAATGCTTCAAAATCTTTTCCATTGGTGAATTTGAATCTGAGTACATTTGTTACTGGTTTCTTTGTCAATATTTTTTTCCATGTATCAATGAAAAAGCCACTTCACTAAGTTAATTTAGAAGTAGGTAGATTTATACATGAAACTGGAGAAAAAGAGTCCTTCTGTTACAAATGAAGGATAGTTTCATTTTTAGAGTTACTTATAGTACATAGATTACACTTTGATCTATCAATGCATAATATTTACTGAAATAGTTCTGATTTATTCTACTAAGCCTATTTGATTTCCATCTTGCCCTGTCTCCACTACATTCAGGGTAGAATCCCCTAACAGGGTATTGGAAGTTTATAGTAATTTCTTCAGCTCAGAAGTCGGCCCTAAACTGAAATTTGAAAGAAAAATAATCCCAAACATGAGGAGTACTTTGTTTTGTTGGGGCTTGAGTTGTGCAGAATCCCACCTCCACTCCCTTTTCTCACCATGGGGAAGAATAACTCATGTCGCTAGGGAGCCCAGAAGATAGTTGGGGAAGTGATAACACTTTTTGTTCACTTAAAAATCATTCCTCTTTTCCCTTTATTCCAGTAGCATTGATAATAAACTTGCCTATGGTAAGTACTTGTATTAAGATGTGAAGTAGGCCGAATTAGAAAAAAAAATTAGATTGGAATTCCAAAGAACTTCACCACTAGAACTAATGATAAAACTATTAACTGTGTTATCAGGCTCTGGTCTAAAGTGTTTTCCATGCATTAGTTATTTTAATTCTCATAACAAACAAATATCATTCTTGTCTCCATTTTACAGGCAAGGAATCTAAAGCCTAAAGAGGTTACACAATTTAATCAAGATCAGGCAGTTAGTAAATGGTGGAGTTGGAATCCAAACCTGCATATTCTGGCATGACAATCTGTGCTCTTCAATACTGCACTGTATCGCTGCTGTATAACTCTGAATTAGTCATACTATTCTTTAATAAGTGCAGAAAATAATTTTAAAATTTTATAAACATTGATTAAAAAATCCTTGCTTAAATTATCTAATTTTAGTATTTATTATTAGTCCTTGTTCCAGAGGGAAATATTAGCATGACATTATTATTCAAATGCTTATGGAAAATATAGGTATTATAGAACTAATTATATTTTAATGACAATTTTTAGTATCTTGGTAAAAAATCTGGCTTATCTTTTACATCTTTTAGGTGGTCACATCTGGCCCTGAATTAATTATTATCGCTGTACAAGACAGTCTTTTACTTTTCTCTCTTACTGATCATGAAAATGAATAAAATAATTGTCAGAAAACAATGAAGGCTAAGGAAACAATAGTAATTAATATAATTTGTACAATGTATGACAAAACATTTTAAAACTCTGCTTTACATTGTAGAAAAAGAAATCAGGACCAGATAGTAATGTGATGATGAATTCTTACATCAGATAAGCCCTCAATTTTTTTAAAACAATCATTGCTTATAACTTACTTAGAGTATACAGAGGAATACCAATTTAGGGGTTTGAGATAACTTTTGAAAGTGTACTTTAGAGTTCAATTATAGCATTTCTTTTTGTCACTTTTTTTCCTAGCTGCAGTTTACTTTGGTAGGAATTTGCCACAGTAGAAAAGGTAGCTTCATATTCTTATTATTTACACATTTGAACACAGGAATTTGTTTTCTTTAAAAATGCTCCATAGGTAGAAGTGTTTGCTCTCTGAATTTGATTTATAGTACATCAGTTTAACAAAATCATATCTAGCTCTAATGAGCTCACCATGGATTTATGATCATGTCAGGTTATTGTTTGAAATAACTTGTTAATTTTATTATTTAGTTTAGAAGTCTAATGGTCTATGTTGAAGGAAAGTAAACAGTGATATGACTTGAATTCTCTTAAAATATTCTTTCACGTTTTTCACTTCAGTAGTAATTTATAACATATCCTGTGAAATGACAGAAGATTTTGCTCACACTGTTGAAGTTCAGTAGTTTTTATAATTCAGTCTCCAAAGATTACTTTCAGTTTTTAGTGATGGGCTATTGTGTGTTTTAACCAAATGCATAGAATAAGAGGAAAAATTTTTGTAGCATACCAAGTTGTTCACCAAAGAAGATAACAGTATGTTTCGTGAGCATTATTTTGAAGTGTAGGATGTCTTTTCTTTCACTTGTTCTGTTCAGAAAATGATATTACTTACTAATACATGTGCAGAATCTCATTATTTTGTAAACACTTTCCTTGAGACATCCATAATTATTATTTCCATAGGCATAGGCAGTTTTGCATATTCACATGAATTTGTGTTGGATATTTGTCAAAAAACATGCTATGCTTTGTCTTATCTATTTTTCATTTAGAGCAAAATGCTCACTTTCAAATTGAAGTGATAAAACATCCCATTATATTTTGATTAGATCTGGAAATGTTTTTTCGAAATCTTTTGAAAAATTTAATAAATGAAATGTTAATTTAATTTGTTTCCACCCATTATATTTTTCTCTAATTTCTTTTTTTTTTTTTTTGAGATGGAGTTTCACTCTTGTCATCCAGGCTAGAGTGCAGTGTCACGATCTCGGCTCACTGCAACCTCTGCCTCCCAGGTTCAAGCTATTCTCTTGCCTCAGCCTCCCGAGCAGCTGGGATTACAGGCATGCACCACCATGCCTGGCTATTTTTGTATTTTTAGTAGAGATGGGGTTTCACCATGTTGGCCAGGCTGGTCTCGAACTCCTGACCTCGTGATCCACCCACCTCAGCCTCCCAAAGTGCTGGGATTACAGGCATGAGCCACCACACCCAGCCGTCTAATTTCTTAAACAATCATTAGATTAGTTTTATGTCCACATTTGATATTGGAATTAAAGGAAATTATATTAATCTGGGGAAAGGTAAAATGAAAGATAAGAAAAATAAAACTATACATAATTTGGAAGTTGTCTCCTATTTCTTTGTTTGAGTTGAAGTCTCACTCTGTCACTCTGGCTGGAGGGCAGTGGCACGATCTTGGCTCACTGCAACCTCTGCCTCCTGGGTTCATTCAAGCTATTCTCCTGCCTCAGCCTCCCGAGTAGCTGGGATTACAGGCACGTGCCACCACACACAGCTAATTTTTGTATTTTTAGTAGGGACAGGGTTTCGCCATGTTGGCCAGGCTGGTCTCAAACTCCTGATCTCAGGTGATCTGCCCACCTCGGCCTCCCAAAGTACTGGGATTACAGGCATGAGCCACCACGCCTGGCCAGTTGTCTTCCATTTCTAATGGTTAAGCTTGATTGAGTTGAATAGCGCTAACTCTGTTGTAGCTAAAGTACTGGTAGACTACAAAGATGAATGAGACATATTCCTTGACCAAAAAGAGTTCACAATTTTAAAGGACAAATAATTATGTATGCAACTGAAATATAGTGTGATTATATACTATAATGAAACTACTAATAAGGTGCCATGGGAGCACTAACATACAAGCTAAGAATCTTAACTGAAATATATTGGATGGTGAACAGAATTTTGCCATAAAGTTGTAGGGATTGGACTGAAGAGCATTATAGAAAGACAGGCCCACAAAAGAAAAAATAGAGTTAAAAGTCTTTGTCGCACTTGAATGACTGAAAACCTGTAATGATTGGCGTTATTATATATGTGTGTCAGAAATAAAAGTTGATTGAGAATAATAATGGAGAGTCTGGGAAGGAATTTGATTTTTAATCTGGAGAAAATAAAGAATTAATTAAGATTTATTTAGTCGACTCATGATTATATCAGTTTTTTAGGACAGATTTAGTAGTAATAAGCATAATTATGTGGTGTCAGGAAAAATTGGTGTTGAAAGAGCATCTGAAAGTCTCTGGAGTGAATGTAGGTGTAAGGCATGATGAGTTCCTCAACCATAGCAATGGGATCAGGGATGGCAAGGAGGGCAAAGCTACCAAAGATGTTGCTGTGGAATCAGATCTTGAGCAACAATTAACTTGTGGCAGATGGGCTAAGAGGTTTCTTTGAGGTTTCTAGTTTGCGTGACTAGAGAGATGTTGATCCCTTTAACTGACAATAGGCAACAAAGGAGGAAAAAACATTGGGAGAAATTAGAAATTTCACTGATTTGAAAACATTATTTTTTTAAGGATTGGAACATTTCCATTATGGGGGAACATGGACAAAAAAGGAAGACTAGAAGTCGCAAATGCCACTACCCAAACCCCTGATCTTTCACTTTTTGGCAGAAGATATAAGCTTCTTACCATGTGAGCATCCTCTTCAGGATGGAAATATTTGGCTGTGACTGTGATCATCTTTCTTAGACTAAGACTGAATGCTGCTGAGTCAAGAGCAGTCAAGTTGGGTGCTCAAAGTATCTGCTGAAAAAGCAACATAACGTCTGTAGCAACTCCATCACCACCTAACTGTGGTTGAGCACTTATTTCTAGGGTGCTTTTTCCCCCCATTCTGTCCACTAAAGTAAAGCTCACTTCTTACCGGTCCCTTGTGCCTTTCCCAAACATGTATCTTTTGTTGGCTCAACTACTTTCATTTGTGTATATCCCATCAGACTTGCATGTGGGATACCACATAGAGCTGTAGAGAGTATGAATATATGTTTTGAGTCATCTACATGTATGGGATAGTGAGAGCATATGAACGTGCCCAACAGTATATTACCAAGGGGGCCATAGACAGAATGATGAAAATGCTTATTTGTAAAAATTTGACTTCTTTTAAGGAGCAATAACAACAGCCATTTTCTTAGATTACTTTCATTCTGAATATATTTTAAAACATTTAATATATAAAACAGCTAAATTTTTATTCTAGATGAATAAAAGGAAATTATATTTGGGAACAAAATATTTTGAGATGTACAAAAATGCAGTATAGGCTTCTTTTTACAATAATAATCCAACTACCCCAATTTTAAATAGGGTTATATCAATTTATACTCTTAGAAAAGTAGGAAGACTATAAATTTTAACTACAGTCTTAATTTTGTTAAAGCTATAATGAGTTACTATTTTGAAGGTCATTATTTCCTTCTGCCAATCTCCTTCTCCCAAATAATTTCTCATTTAAAAGTTGTAGTGCCAAATGTGCATTTAAGCTTATTTGTTAGGAACTCTCTAAGAGAACTCTGATAAAACATGGTTTTCAAATGTTATTCTCATATGTGTTGATTATTCCAGTGACCTTTTCTTTTGATATTTCTTATATAAATCTGCCATTCAAAATTAAATTACATCTTCTGGTCATTTTCTAAGAATATATTCATAATATGGATGAGAGAAAAGAGATGGAACCATTTTTCCCCCACAGAAAGACAGAGGATCATTCATTTAAGGTAACAGTTTTCAACCTGGGATGATTTTGCCCCCTCTACTCTCTCTTCCTTCCGGAGACATTTGACAATGTGTAGAAACATTTTTGACTGTCACAGTTGTGGGTGCCATTCTGGCATCTCTTGGGTGGAGGCTGCTAAGCATCCTACAATGCACAGAAGAGCCCTTCACAATAATGAATTATCTGCTCCAAAATGCCATAGTACTAATATTGAGGAACTCAGTGATTTAAAGTAAGAGTTACAATTACAACAAAAAGATAAATAGCCAGCATTATTTGATTTACTTCTGGGGCCATGCAATTTTCTTTTTCATAAAAAAAGTAGGCAGTGCATCTTCTTAAGTAAAGGACAAATCTATTAAAGAAAATAAACTGCTTTTGAAACAATTTATATTGTATCTAATTAAATTGAAGCATAGAAATTGTACGGTAAGCAGAGCCAAGGTAGCATAGTCTGATGCTGACATATGCTAATTACAATCCTTATAAATCTATTCATCAGAACAGATTTTATTAGGCAACCTTGGCAATCCTGATTCCTTCACACACAAAAAGGTAATGAAAGCTATTTAAATATAATAGAATAATTTAGTCTTTTAACTAATTTTGACGGGTCTTTTCCCCAATTAATCTGAATCAGTGATGTGTTACTATGGTGTAACAACTGCAAAACACCTTCCAGTGAAATTTTTTAAAAAATTATGTAAGGCTATCATGAGGTTTTTCGGTAAACTAGAAAACATTATTTTTTGAGATAATAAATAGGTTGGAGGTTTATGATGCAGTTATTTGTTTTTCATTTGGGAAGGTTTTAATGTTTAAATGGTGAAGTGACAATATCCGATTTAATTTTAACAGGATTACTCTGGCTACTGCAAGTCTGACCATGTCTTTCCTCTCCTCGGAAACTAATCAGTGGCTTCCCACTGCACTCAGAGAACGAGGGGATGGCATGCAAGGCTTGCAAGGCCTTCCACAATGAACACCCTCTCTCCCTTCTTAGCTTATTGTTCTTCTGATCTTAGCTTCTCTCCCCCTCAGTTGCTCTGCTCCAACCCCTCTGGGCTCCTTGCATTTCTTCACCTGTTCCTGATATCCTCCTGCTGGGCCTTTGCCTGGAGTTCTTTCTGAGGATACAGCAAGGAGGCATGCTGGCTCACTTCCTGCAGGCCTTTGCTCATCCAAAGTGGAGGCCTGCCCTGACAGCTGTGTGTGAAAGAGCAGCCTTCCTCCCCCATGCCCCACCCAGCACTCCCTAGCATCCTTCTTGCTTTATCTCTGATGCACTTAACAAGATTTTGTATATTTACTTGTTGATTTGATTGTTTTCTACCCAGTAGTATGTAAAACTTCATGAGGGCATGGACTTTTCTTGTTTATTATTGTACCTAAAAAAGCACCTGCCGTAGAGTCTGCGCTCAATAAATACATGCTATAGGAGTTAAACAACGTGTGGGTACATATATTTTTTTTAAGTTCAAGTTTAGATTATCTGAAGAGGAACAAACACTTCTATTAAGAGAAAAGCATAAATTTTAACTTATGGCACAGCTGTTTTGTTTAAGTTCATCTGCAGGCTTTTGCTTTCCTTCTGGCTAAAATGACTATCAATGGCCCTGGGCTGGCCCACACCTAAAGACTGTAAAACAGGAGAGCAAACAATTGACTTCTCCCTGACTTGCTAAGTCAACAAACCACATGAGTCAGCAAACCTCTTTTTACTGCCTGACCTTCCTTAACATCTCCTTATCGTATTCTGAAATTCCTATTCTGCTGGCTGGAATCTTGGCCCAGACCCTTTTGGTGATCTTTGATGTGTTTCTCATACACCCTGCAGCATTTGAATCATCTTTGTCAGGAGTGTGAGGGGCTCATGGTCTCTTTTATGTGGCAGACACCTAAAACTGCTAGCTGCTTCCTTACCTTCCTCGGGAGCATTTTGATGATACTCCAGAAAGCAGAACAGCACTATCAATAAATGTCATGGATTTTTTTTTTTCTCCTTGCTGGATTACCTAGCCTTTCAGATAAGGTTGGATAAACCTTATTCTAGGGTAGCCCTTTATTTGACTACTCTACCCTTCCAAGCAAAAAGCTGCTTTTCAAATGAAGTTATCAAACTACAGTAGTCAGGAAAGAAAGAGAAAGGTTGGTTATCTCTCACTGTCACTTGGGAGCTCTGTCCTGGAACAAGGATTGACAAACTTTTCTGTAAAGCACCCAATAGTAAATATTTTGGGCTGTGCTGGCAGTGCTACCTCTTTGTCATTGTAGCACAAAAACAGCCACAGAAACTTCATAAATGAATAGGTATGGCTATGTTCCAATAAACCTTTACTTATGGACACTAAAATCTGAATTTCATTTAATCCATCTCAAGATGTAAAAAACATTCAGGCCGGGCATGGTGGCTCATGCCTAAAATCCCAGCACTTTTGGAGGCTGAGGCGGGCGGATCATGAGGTCAGGAGATCGAGACCATCCTGGCTAACATGGTGAAACCCTGTCTCTACTAAAAATGCAAAAAATTAGCTGGGCGTGGTGGCGGGCGCCTGTAGTCCCAGCTACTCAGGAGGCTAAGGCAGGAGAATGGCGTGAACCCGGGAGGTGGAGCTTGTAGTGAGCCGAGATTGTGCCGCTTCACTCCAGCCTGGGCGACAGAGCGAGAGTCCGTCTCAAAAAACAAAAACAAAAACAAAAAACAACAACAACAACAAAAAATTCTCAGTACAGGCTGTTCAAAAATAGGTGGTGAGCTGAATTTGGCAATTGAGCTATAGTTTCCTGACCCCTGCTCTACAGTGAGATGACTTCATCTTTGTGGATTACTTGGACCTTGGAGGTCTGCTGAACTCCCTAATGCTTTTTTTTCTTGGATCTGACAAATAGCTTTATTTGTGTCTCCCGGCCACTTTGTAGATTCTGAATCCTAGAAGGGAGAAGCTAAAATATCTGGGTGCAGTGATGATCTGCTTTGCTTCCCACTTCTGAGTTTCTCTAATTCTGGAAGATAGTGTCATTTCAACTCTGATTTCTGGTTTAGCTCAGCTCTCAATTCTAGGTCTAATGTGATACAAAAAGCCTTACACCTGTTGCTTGGTTTTGTTTCAGTCTTGCTGTTGGTCTTATTGTTACCTACCTTCTCGGTTGCCCATTGACTAGATTTCTTGCCTCATGATAAAGCTCTGGATAATAGCTGCCTACCTCTTGGTGCCTTCATCTGCCAACCACCACACCTAGGTAACCTATGAATTTTAGACTTAAGCTGAGACTACTCAAGGCTTCCCTTTATTCATTTTCCTTGGGAACTGATGATCTATTTCAGATTACCTTTGAATTTACACACAAGTGCTGCTTCTAGAATAATTTTGACTCCTGACTTTTGCTCTTACTTTTAAACTTTTGTCCCATTTATGATATAGGTCAGCTTTGTCTTCATTTGGCAGATTTGTAACCATCTAAGCCAAGAATCTGACAAGATATTATTTTTTCTGTTTCTTCTGATTTTATTGAGGTCTTTTTCTTTTTGAACCCATCTGTTTCCCCATCTTTCTCAAAACACCCTGAGTATACCAGGGTCTGCACGTCTTATGAAGTCAAAGTTAGAATCACTTCAGTTGTGAGCTTGCCTTTCTTAATTACACAAACTTCTTCTGACAATAATAGGTATAAACTAGAATGACATAATTTGATGTAATATAAGACCATTTTTCAGAGTACAGAAAAGCATATTGTATTCACCTTGATTTGCAAATATCTCATGAAGAGAATTACTTTATTCTTTGGGCCTATTTTTCACTTGTAAAGCTGGCCTGGGTCCCCATAAATACTCTGTCCAGTTTAATTTGAGTTTAACATGACACTGAGGAGTAGTCTGATATTACTCAGAGAGGGTGATACAACTCTGAACTTGTTGGCCCTTATCAGATATAATTTAAATTTCCCCTGGAAAGGGAAATAAGCACTTGGAATCAAGGCAAAGAGCCAAATCCAGCAGATTATCAAGATGGTCGGTGGGAGGAAAGTCTGATGGTTTCCGCTGCTAAGCGTGGGAGATACTGACCTACTCTCATTCACTTACTTTTGTACATAGATGTAGACTGTGAGCTGCCAAAATAGAGAACAATTCTTACTTTCTGTCAGCAGCTTATCAGAATTCCCTGACCTCCAAAAATGATGAACACAGTCCGGACCCTGTTCTTATGACTGGTGATTGATACAGCTGGCTTAGCTCTTGTTTTTTGACTTGCTTTTATTGGGCCCTGGACTATTTGTTCTACACACTTTAAATTTGGGTGCATGAGCACCCAGGTATGACTTCATAGACAGCCCTGTTTCTGATCTGAACCTATCATACTTGCCTCTGGCTTTGCCCTTTTATCCTCCCAACTCTCTACACTAGTGCTTCTGCCCTTGTTGGACTTTTTTTAAAAACTTTTTTATCATGTTTGTATCTTATATCTTGGAAGACAGAATTATCCCTTTCTATTGAAATATAATACTTTTAGCATATATTTGAATGAATATAGATTGAAGAAATGTAATGTCACTTGTCTTCCAGGAAAGACTTTCAGTTTTGTGGATTAAAACATTTGGTATTTTGATTGTTTAATTTCTAATCTTGATTTATAGGACACAGATAGTTTCTGCTCTTCTTTTGTTACATATCTATTTGTAAATGATTTGGTAATACTGTTCAGATGTTCCCTTTTTCTAGCTTTTCATTTTAAATTGTAGTATCTTTCTTTTATTTTATAGATATAGTTTAGCATGGTCTCTGCTATGGTTTGGATGTAACTTGACCCTGCCCAAACTCTTATTGCAACCATAATTTCCAGTGCAGCAAGGTGTAGGGTAGAAACTGTATGAGAGGGGGCCTAATGGGAGGCTTTGGATCATGAAGGCTTTGCCCTTGCCCTGGTGGGCAGTTGGTGCCTTTCTAGCAGAGCGCGACTCCATCTTGAAAAAAAAAAAAGAAAAAGAAAAAAAGAATGTCCCTTGTTCTAACCAGCTTCCACAGACAGCCTTATCAGAGGAGAAGTATGCTTTTGCCATCTCTTTATGGAAAAGAAAATAAGCCTTTAGCCTAGATGGCTATTGTTGCCCAAAAAAGGGAGGAGGGATAAATAGCTTCACTCCGCTGCTAAGTTGGTATCAGTTTGGGTTTAATTCAGCCTTAGCATGTCCATCTGTCCACTTCTGATGACACTTGTATGTGTGAGGAATGTGGGAGACAGGGAATGGAGGTGAGTGGACATTCTGGTAGTGTTCAGATATGCCTTGATTTTCTCCAACCCTGGAAGGGAGTAGTTCTGGAATCCTCCTACCTGTCCCTCAATTTTTCACTTTACTAAGATTATAACTTATAGCTTCCTTGAGATAGAAATGACTCTGCAGAGCCCATCCTGAATGGAAATCATAATAAATAATTCCTATATCCAGGGAAGTCTGAAAACTAATCTTGTTTCCTGTTTTTGGAGCACAGTAACTGGCAAAATACATTTGGGGTGAGTTTGACTTTTAGAGGGTGGTTCTGAAGCATTCTTATATGTTAGATTCCCTTGATAAAATGGCAGATTCTTGAGCTTCAGCATTACAAATTGATCTGGAGCGGGCTCTAGGAATCTACCACTTTTTAATTTTTTGTTTGCTTGTTTTATTTATTTATTGTTTATTATTTTTTATTATTTTTAAATTTTTTTAGACTGAGTTTCGCTCTTGTTGCCCAGGCTGGAGTGCAGTGGCATGATCTTGACTCACCGCAACCTCCACCTCCCGGGTTCAAGTGATTCTCCTGCCTCAGCCTTCCTGAGTAGCTGGGATTACAGGAATGTGCCACCATGCCTGGCTAATTTTGTATTTTTGGTAGAGACACGGGGTTTCTCCATGTTGGTCAGGCTGGTCTTGAACTCCCGACCTCAGATGATCCACCCACCTCGGCCTCCTAAAGTGCTGGGATTACAGGCATGAGCCACCATGCCCGGCAACTTATTATTTTTTAAATCAAGCACCCAGGTGATTGTGATACAGGTTTTCAAAGCCACAATTTATAAAAAACGTTGTGCTAGTGATAATGTTTTAGAAAACTAAATTCCCAGTAAAGCTTTGAGCCAGGAACTTTCTATTAAACTCTGTAGCTCTCTAGGCTCCCTGTCCTCTTTATCACTTTCGTAACAGGTCTAGAGAATGAAATCTGCAAGAAAGAAAGATCCTTAGATAGTGTCAATCTGAAACATATTGTATCTAAACACTTAACATAATTATCTTATTTAATTTTCTCAACTACTCTGCAGATATAAATATTATATCAAGTGTTTTTAATTTAGTTCAGTAAATATCGAGCCTTTACTATGTGCTCTGTACAGTGAAAAAGTTCAGTCTCAAATAGATATATTAATTTGACTGGGGTTGCTTAGTTTATGAAGGGTGGAACCAGGATTCAAATACATTTGTTTGATTCCAAAGTTCATGTTTCTACTCTACAAGCCTTCTGTTCTTCACTTCCTCATCTGCTCAAAGCTGTGAAAGCTCTCTGTGCAGCTGTATTACTTTTTATTTAAATAAAGCACTAGAAGGTGAACAACATGATACCAAACACTGTTGACTTGTAAGGGGCTTTCTTCCTGTAAGAGAAGTTAGGACATTTACACATGAAAATACTCAGCAGTTCAAAGAAGCATGTAATTAAGTGCCCAAATTAGAGATATAAAGAGAGAGGCTCATATTGTCTGTGGAATGTTTTCTACAGAGCATTGAACACATTTAAGAATCTGAAAGGATAAGATTTAGAAAGGAAGGAACAATGTTGTCTCCAAATTATGAAAGTTAAAATGAGTCTGTCTATGGATGATGCCAGGTAATTATCCTTCTACCTTATAAAAGTTGTCAACAGACAATTAGCTATGTAAGTAATTTTCCCCTCATTCCTTTCTTGTTGAACAGTTTCTGAAAGAGAAGCACTCTATTGTCATTTCCTTAATGCACATTTATTTTCTAAGCGTCTGCTTTCAGGCTTCTTCTATGTGTTCCTAAGAAATTGCTCTCATAGTGATTATCACCACCTCCTTATTACTAAGTCCAGTGGAACCTTCTTGTTCTGGTCTTACTTGATGTCTCTCTATAGTTGAATGCTCCATACCTTCCCCATTACAATACTGATTAGGTTTTGTTAGGACTATTTACCTAATCATCTAACTTTTCTGATAGATAGTAAGCTCTCTGAGGATGGGGATTGAGTCTGTCTTGTACGTAAGGAAACAATATGGCCCAGGAAACCATATGAGTTACCTCCTTTGGCTTTTGTAACATAAGTATTTTCTAGATTTCTTCTTTATCTCCAACCATTCATTCCTAATCTCCTTCGTGAATTCCCCTTCTGCCTACCTCTTAAATCTACGCAGGGCATTTCATTCATATATTAGTAACTCCCAAATCTATTTTAGAGGTTTTAACGTTTCTCTCCAGACACGTTTCCTACTAGCTAGTGGAATATTCACTTGGATGCTATTCTGGTACTTTGGTAATCATACTGTGCATAAAATGGAACTTGTTTTCCACCCTTGCCCCACTCAGCTCCCACCCAGACCTGCTTCTCTGCTTGTGTTCCCTGCTATAAGCCTTGCCCAAGCTAGAAATCTGGTGTCATCCTCTCTACCTCTCCTTCCCTTGCCAACTTATATAAGCACTTAGCAGTTCTCCCTTCAACTTTCTCAGTGGCTTTTAAATCTATCCCCTCCCCCTAACCCACATGCTTTAATAAGCCTTCCCTCTTCTGAATTCTTCCCTTTGCTATGAAGAATGGGGTTTTTTAAAAATGCAACTCGGATCTGTCACTCTCCTCAAAATCCTCCCATGGCTCCCTAATTTATCAGGCTAAATTCTAAAATCCTGACATTGCAAAGTCCTTTATATTTTGAGTTCCCCTATTTGTTTGCTACTCTCCAGCCATACAGACTCCCTCCCCAAAACTGTAATTTCTTATTTTTCCATCTTCTCTTGGTACTTTTCCACTTACATTCTCTTGGTGGGAGACGCTCTTCTTCTCCCTCCCACTTTGTCTGGCTGAACTCCTCCTTTCTGTTTAGGCCTCATCTTTGGCATCACCCCCCAGCCTTCCCTGATGCCCCTAATTGGTATTCTAGGGTGGGTGTTGTAGTGTACAAAGGTGCCTGGCTGAAGGAGTGAGTCAGCGCTGGTGCAGGGCTTCCTTTTTCTGATTTGCACAGTGGCCCTATGCAGGCTAGTAGTGGCTCTGGTACCACATTACTTATTTACATATCCTTATTCCCCCCACAAAAAGCCATTTGGCCTTAGGGACCTCATTCACTTTTTATCTTCAGGGCCTAGCAAACAAATTGTCATTAGATCCAGCACAGAGTATGGTATAATAATCTTGCCTATTCATATCCACTGCTTTCACAATTTACTATGCATTTTTTTTCTTTTTCCTTCTTTTTATTTTTGTCCTTAAGAGACAGGATTTTTCTCTATTGCCCAGGCTGGAGTGCAGTGAAGAGATCATAGCTCAGTGTAGCCTCAAATTCATGGGCTCAAGCAGTCCTCCCTCAGCCTCCTGAGAAGCTGGGGCTACAGGTGCACACCACCACACCGGGCTATTTTTTTTTTTTTTTTGGTAGAGGCAAAGTTTCGCTATGTTGCCCAGGCTGGTCTCGAATTCCAGGCCTCAGGTGATCTTCCCACCTTGGCCTCCCAAAGTGCTGGGATTACAGGCGTGAACCACCGTGCCAAACCTACATTTTTATATTTATTATTTTTTTCTGATTAACAATAAAGCTAGGTTATTAGCTGCCTGGGAAGAGGAGGAAGTAGATTTTTACATTCACTTTTAAATAAACTTTTAAATTCACATGAGAAATTCCACCTTACCACAATTGTCTCCCTAACATGTCTTTGGACTACCTCTGTTTCTCTAAGTTTTTGTTTTTTTCTGGTGTCTGAATTAAGTTGGTGACAGATTTGGGGGATATTTGAGTAGCACTTTATCTAGAGTTGCTTGCACAAAAGCTGAGTAGGAGCATAGCCCTAATGAGTTCGCATTACCGAAACAGGTCCCTGTTTGCTGAGAGTGAAATTCCTCTATTATTTTCTTAAACCCCGCTTTGCTAAGGTTATAAAGTGGTCCAACTGCATTCTACCTTTAACTCCAAACTGTTCTCTTAAATATGTACCTGGCAGAACTGAGAGCACATTGTGTTTTGCATCTCGTAGGTATCTAACCTACCCCCAAGGGAGATATTCTCTATGGGAATCACACCTCAGAAAAGAAAATAATATACTTTCTCCTACCTCTCTCATTGTTCGCAGGCTCATATTCTCCAAACCTCTATCTCATTTTTCTTCTTGTGCTCTGTGGTTCCCACTCTCAAATTTTCTCTCTCTCTGTCTCTATCCTTCTGTCTCTGACACACACACACATACACACACACACCTGTCTTTCTAGTCAGAGCTGTTTCTGTGTTCCTGTTCAAGCTCCATTGTTTTTAACCTCAGTCAGCCTTCCCTTTTCTTCACTTGAATTAGCTTCTTCATATTATGCATGGGTAAATGCACAGAATTATTTGAGTGCACTGTTAGCTCTTAGCTTCAGAAAGGATTCAGAAATTAGAGGAGTGATCAGGGGAGCCAGCTCTGAAGCTACAAATTGGAAGGCACTAAGAGATGAGTGGATGTGTAATACCATATTTGGGAGAAGGAGGATGGAGAGCTATATGTTTGGTTAAGGATGGGCTTGGACAAGGCTGCTATTCTTTCTTGCTTTTGGTCCACAAACTGGTGTCAAATCCTGGAAACTGTATAAAGATTTAGTATTTATTATTATTTAGTATTTATTATTATTTCAAAAACATTTCAACTCTGGTATGTCCAGGCAGCCTATCTCTGCATGGTAGAGGCCTGGGAACCAACCTATGGATTAAAAAAAAATGTGTACTTTTATAGTTTCTAGGAAAAAAGTTCAGATTATATCTTCCTAGGTAGATATTTTATAGAAATTTACATCCAAGTTTATACCACAGTAAATCTCTAAGGGACAGATTTCAAGGAAACCCCCTGAATAGTTGGATTACTGTTTTCTTGCAGCTAAAAATTTTTGATTATGTGCCCAAACCAAAACAAAAGATTGCATTTAGCTTCCTCGATGAGAATTTCTGAAACCAAATACAAATGAAACCACAGGAGGAAAGATAAGGACTCACAAGTTTATGAAACTTGCTAATGGGACTTTAACTCCCTCTTAGACTCACTCACTCAACTTTCTTATTCCATTTGATATATTTTATTTTACATTATTTTGAAAAACAAAATGAAACATTGGGGGATATGTTCCATTTTGAATATAGAACTATTTTGAGAATTGTAGGAAAATCATTGTATATTTAGAATTACACGTGTCCTACAAAATTGTCCTCATACATTTATTCATCCATTTAGCAAATCTTTTTTAATATCTGTCATGTTAGGTACTCTTCTGTACACCTGTGATACATCAATAAGCAAAGCTGACAAAATTCTTTGCCCTTATACTGCTTCTATTCTGGGAACAGGGGCTGTGAATAAACAAATAAAAAAAGCCTGTCATATTGTGGTCAGATTGTGGTCAGATTATGGTAAGTGGGCCAAGTGTGGAAGGAAGTCAGGGAGCATGCCTTGCAGATACCTGAGGGAGGAGCCTCTAAGGGGTAGTGAGATGGGGGTTTATCTGGCAAGGATGGGAGCAGCTTGCAGGCCATGCAGCATAGTGTGGTGTGGAGTGAGGGGACTGGAAGTAGGGCAGGGGCCCTAGGTCATTGTGAAGACCTTTACTTTCCATCTGAGTGGGATTGTTATGGACTGAATGTTTGTGCCCACCTCCCCAATTCATATGTTGAAGTTCAAATCCCCAATGTGATGGTATTTAGAGATAGGGCCCTTTAGAGGTAATTAGATTTAGAGGAGATCATGAAGATGGGACCTCCTTGATAGCGTGAGTGTTTTTATAAGAAGAGGAAGTGACTAGAGCTCTCTCTCCACTATTTGAGTTCACAGTGACAAGGGGGCCATCTATCTGCAAGCCAGGAAGCAGGTCTTCATCTGAAACCAAATTTGCCTGTACCTTGATCTTGGACTTCCCAGCCTCCGGAACTGTGAGAAATAAATATGTTGTGTAAGCCACCAGTCTAATGGTGTTTTGTTATGGCAGTCCGAGTAGATTATTAAGGATAGGAGGGCTTCAGCAAGTTCTGAAGAGAGGAGTGAGCTGATCTGACTTCTGGTTGAAGAGGATCACTCTGGCTGCTATGCTGCAAGAGGACTGCAAGGGCCAAAGCAGAGGCTGGAAGACCTGCTAGGAGACAGTTGGAGTAATCGGTGGCTTGAATTGAGGTAGCAGCAATGGAAATAGAACACAGTGGTCAGATGCAGGATGTGCTTTGAAAGTAGAGCTGAATGTACTGGTGGATTGGATATGAGTTATTATGGACAGAGAGAGGTCAAGGATAAATCCAGAGAAACTGTGAGGATAGAGTTGTCTCAGTGGAGGTGGACACAGCTGGGAGTGAGGTAGAATGTTGTGATGGGAAGATGAAAGGATTTGTTACCGGCACATTAATTTTAGAATACCTATTAGACTCCTGAGTTGGAGATGCCAAAGACGTCATTGGATGTGAGTCTGAAATCTGGTAGAGAGTTCAGGGTTGGGAATATAAAATCAGAAGTTGACAGCATGCAACAGGAATGTTATTTAAAATATTTGATAACCAGTATGACTTGAGAACCAACCAATCAAAGCAGATGCCTGCTTTAACCACAGGCATAGCTGTACAGCTCCTGTCAGCAGGCTATCAGTCCAATATGCACTTGCATTTGCTAAAACATATCCTTTCTACATTGGTCATTCTCAACCTTTACAGATAAACTACAAATTTTATCAATATACCATAAATGCAGATTACCCATTAAAACCAAAAAAGGCACCAACTAGAAAGCATAAGCAGGGAATATTTATTTTCTCCACTATTATATTTGTCCACTCCCTAATTCACATTATGCCCACTGTATTTTCTTGTAAGGGTTAAGTACAAGTATTTAACATACTAACATATTTGTGAAGGCCAGGGACTAGTTTGAAAGTACCAGCTTTCAAGTACAATGGACTTGTATTTGAGTCCTGGATACTCCATTGTACTGTTTTTGCAGAAATAAGCTCCTTTTCCTTCCTTTTTCTGAAAATAAGTCTGTAAAGCTGGAAATAAGACTACTTCACATTGTTATAAGGATTAGAAATTCTATATATAAAGGATCTATTACAGTGCCCATTAATTGCAGTACAATTTCCCACACAAATTGTAGGATTTTAGAGCTTGAAAAGACCTTAACTTGGCTTGTGTTCTTAATAATAACTGGTCAAATTATTATAATATATCACACAATATATGTTGGATTTAGGCTGTAAGCTACATTCAGAAATGCTTGGGCATAAATATGTGCACACTTGGACACCCTGTTTACCAGGAGGAAGTATAAGTTCTTATCAAAGGAAAGAATGATTTTGATTATTTCTTTCTCATAGGTCAGATTGTAAAAACCCAGCAAAAAGTGCTTTCGCATACAGCATTAGCAATCAATTATATCTTTATATAAATATTTGCCTATGACACCAAGTGACTTGCTAACCCCTCATTTTTGTTGATAACCTCTCATAGGACAAAAATTACATTGCCGCCTTGCTCTGATATTTCAGGGTTGAGCTGGTGTACTATTTTGTGAAGATAATTACAAGGCTAGGTAATGCATATTTTAGGTAAAGAGAGTCTGGCCTTCTAGGCTTCCAAAGATCCTATAAGTTCAAGTCCTTGGTACCTCTGTATTCTAGACAGATCTTGGGGGAATGCCTTGGCTGCATTCACAGATAGATAGTAATGTAAGTTCCATGAGGTTTTGTTTCATGACTGTTTATTTACTTTTGATTCTCCAATACCTATAAAGTCTCCTGGCACAGAATCAATGCCCAAGAAATAGATGTCAAATTAATATGTAGAAACAAAAACGCTCTAGTGCTAATTCTACCTCAATGTCATATGCAATTTTGAGGGAAGCAGACACTGAATGAGTATCTTATTTCTGTGAAAGCAGCTTGTAATTGATTTACAAATGTCATTCCTTGGACCTGTGACTGCCAGCATTGGACTCTGTGTCCTTTTATGCTCAATAATGCTTTTTCCCTCTCCTCATTAAATTCTGGATTTTTCTTACCTACTTTTCTCTCCCTACCAAAGAAATAGATAAAATACCATGCTCTTCATTTTATTGGTGGGTCAGTATTAATTGCCCAATTCTGTCTTTGCTTTGAAAGAATTCTTGCCTAAGAGGTCTCTCTCTCCATAAAGTCGATACCTTTTCCAGTTTCCCAGACAAGCCTGAATAAATATGTCAGAACCTAGCAGTGGACAGGGCTATGAATGATTCAAAACTGTCTATTCCCTACAACGTGTAAATGAAAATATAGACAGCTGTACAGGATCAGAATAGGGGAGAAGGAACAGGGAAACCTGGAAGGCTGCTCTTTTGTGAACAACAGCCTGGAAGGTTGGGAAATGATTTTCAGTGTTTTGTGGGACTGTACTACAGATTGGACTATGCCATCTACTTGTGCTAAAAAGCACAAAAGTCTTTTAAAAGCAAAGGTGACAAAAGTCTTTTAAAAGCAAGTAAAGACATTCTCCAGAAATATTTTTAATAAAACATGCACAATAATGCTGCTTTTTCCAACTATTGTGTGGTTGTAAGTTTTTGAACCTAATTCTTCAAATTATAACAACTACTAAAGATTTATCAAATGTAAATCCTGTGCCAGGCATGATGCTCAACCCTCTGATGGATTGTCTTGTTTAGCAGACACAGCTAGCACATTATATTATGTACATTTTTACAAATTGAGGGAAAGAAGGCAGAGATGCTAAGCACTTTGCCCACAGTTACCCAGTAAGTGGCTGAGCTGGTACTGCATGCCAGGTATCCTGCTTGTGGAGCCAACAGTCACTTCTGTACTATCTCAGTGACAGCTATGGAGGCCTGGGATTATTTTATTTATCCTATTGGAAATGACAGTTGTAGCAATGACTAAATATACTGTGACATTAATTCCCCCTGGAAGTGTAATTTGATTATGTTTGGTAAACTGAATGAGTGCCTGATCTCTATGAATGCAGCTTTTAATTGATTTACAAATTACATTATTTGGAGCAGTGACTGCTGGTATTGGACTTGGTGTCCTATTGCACTCTTTGTTGCTATTGTTTTCTTTCCTGCATTGACGTTGTTTTCTGTATTAAGCTGCCTGAATCATGTCCTTTGAAAATATTAATACCTTTTTGAAGAAAACCAAGGAATTGTGGTAACTCCATGGTGAGGTAGCCTTTGAGTGGAAATAACCAAAAATTACCTGCAGTGGGAATTACCTTTTGGTTATTGTGCATAAAAATGGCAGAGATAGATAAATGGATAGGTAGATAATGTTTTCTTAAATTTATTTGTATACATAGATAATCTCACAGCCCATGAAGACTCAACATATAGGCCTTTTAATGCCTACGTTTAGTTTCCTCGTATTGATTTACTTGCAAATTTTCTAATATATTCTTCAGTAGAATTTACTTTATAGCTTTATGTCCAGATTATCTTGGCTTTTGCCTTTGGATAACAAAACAACTATTCCTTCATTTGAAGCAGATAGTTAAGAAAACAAATTACCTTTTGAAAACCATAAGGCTGACTTTATGCCTAGGAATAGATTATTTCTCAGTCCTAGGGAAATATGCATTGAACATTATTTTATGATGCTTTTTAGTACTTTGAGATTCAGTTCAAGCTGACAAGGACCTAAGTATTGGATCTGAAACTCCTCACATTCTGTTCTGTTTCTCCCTGAAAGCACCTGTCAGTGTCTATAGACTTTGAAACCAAGATTTAACAGGGTAACATTTACTGACTATATTATGCTACATTATGTATAATAGTATGACAGGACAATGACTTACAGGTCATATGAATATTATTAGCTCTCTCTGCCTCCTTTGATTTTTTTCTTTTTTTTTTTTAAACTGAGCTACTGCACTCCAGCCTGGCAGAGTATCTCTCTATGGGGTATCACCCAGGCTGGAGTGCAATAGCACAATCAAATAATACACACACACAGGCCGGGCGTGGTGGCTCACACCTGTAATCCAAGCACTTTGGGAGGCTGAGGCAGGTGGATCACCTGAGGTCAGGAGTTCGAGACCAGCCTGACCAACATAATGAAACCCTGTTTCTACTAAAATTACAAAATTAGCTGGGAGTGGTGGTGCATGCCTGCGATTCCAACTACTTGGGAGGCTGAGGCAGGAGAATCGCTTAAACCCAGGAGACAGAGGTTGCAGTGAGCCAAGATTGTGCCATTGCACTCCAGCCTGGACAAGAGCGAAACTCCATATCAAATAATAATAATAATAATGATAATACACACACATATAGAATGAGAGGGAATTTATGAGAAGTTTGATATTTCATTGTTTTGGATTTGGAGAATGTTTCCACTTAGATCAGGAACCTCTCTATTCACATCATATAGGCTTTGATTGTATAATAAGTGATAGCAAGTATTGTTAGCCTGTAACTTCTTAAGCCAAAGCTCCTGAGGGAGGATCATAAATACATATGCCTATCATTTTCCCAATTCTACATAATACTGTTTCAACTAACCAAAGCAGGCTTGTATCTACAATTTCATCATTGGAGTCCCTATTCTCTTACATTTTCCTTCAAAACTTTCAAGTGTATGTAAACTCTATAAGGACACATTATTTTCACCATCATAGTAGTAAAGCATGCTCATCATCCAGAACACTTGTTTCTTCACTTAGTGTTGACGTGTATCTACTTTCTGAATTAATTTTCAGGTTCTGTTGCTAATTGCAAGCAGGTTTATGGTGCCACATTTTTACCACTGCACCCTGTGCTCATTGATCTCCCTGAAGCTCTAGTTCAGTTCCAACCTAATGAAAAGCAAATAGATGCCAACGACAATAGTTACCCAGCTAACATTTTGGTTTTGGTCTGGGTCATCCTTCTGAGGCGTATGACTTGCTGTTTTGTATGTTGGTGTGTAGAGAGGAGCCGATGTGTTCCAGAAGCCCTACATCTAATGGGCAATAACTCACAAAATCACTAGCTAGCAGATTCTCACAGTTAAAGGGCGAATGTTCATTGAATATTGGAAATGTCAACTGCAGCCTGTCTGGGTGATGTTTAAAATTATCAATGTACCACCTTCAACATAATAATTCCCTACATTTTCTTTGCTTTATTTTTTATTTTAATTTTTAAAAAATGGAGACGAGGTTTTGCCATGTTGCCCAGGCTGGTCTCAAGCTCCTGGGCTCAAGTGGTCCTCCTGCCTTGGCCTCCAAAGGTGCTAGGATTACAAGCATGAGCCACCATATTCAGTCTACAATCTCAGCTGAACCATTCTCTGCTCACAAATAGCACTAGTGATAGGAGATAAGAAGAGGTGATTTTTGAATGGCCTAATGTAAAAGACCATCACAGACTTTAGAATACCAATTTGTGGCTCTGGTTTAAATGAATAGATAGCCCCTGGACTCCATTAGTACAACTGAGGGGCTGGATTGTAATTGTTTTCTGAAGTCCCTGTCACTTCTGAAATTCTGAGATTTGATTTTTTTAATATGTCGTGATCCATGATATGTTACATAAAATGCTAATATGCTAGACAATTGGCATATCCACAGTATTTGAGTAGACTTTCTAAATTCATGAAATTACAACACTCTGAGTTATGTCTTAGCAACTTAGAAGTCAGAAGTCAAATTTCTAGTCTTTCTTGCAGCCAGTGTGCAGGCATGTCACTAGGCTTGTAGACTTGTCCCATCTAACAGATGTTTGCCATACTTCATTTGGGGATTCATCAGTGTCAGAAGGCAGATTTTGCACAGACTTTCCATTTTTCTCAGTGAATGTGGTGGTCGAGGGCTGTGGTTTGAGGAGTCAGCAGTATATTTAATTTTTGATATGAAAGTGACATTGGTCCTGGTGGCATTGGCAGTTGACATATATTATTGGTATTAATTGCAGCAGATGTAGCGGCAGCTGTTTTTCCATCAGGCTAGTTCTGAAGCTTAGTCTTGGGACTTTTTTTCTGGAAACTTATTCCTGAGCCCTCCCAACAATTCTGGAAGCTATTCAATATTGGTTTAATAAATTTCTTAGAATTGATGGCGTATACCCAAGTGTTTGCAGTCAACAATCCTAAGAACCCTGACTGAACAAATGTGCAAGTGATTTTTCTCAAAGACCGCATAACCCCAGGTCTAATAATTCATTAATTTTAGTGAGAATGAATGAATGAACAAAGTAGAAAACTAGCCATAAACATGCATTTGCAAAACCTCTGATCAGGTGTAAGGAAACATTCATTGATAATGTTTCTCAAGGCATTTTTAAAAACTATTCTATTTTATGCTTTGTCCTCCATGCCCAAACAATTCAACTCTGTATAAACAGTTCTCTTCATTGAAAATAACTACGCATTCATTTTTTGCTACCTAACAAATGGATATTGTAGTATAGTGATTTGAATTAGATGTGAATAGGAAGAAAGATAAAAGTGAACCTAAGTAAAATGTTGCATTTATGTCTGAATTCCCTGGTCTCTGGATTATATGAGCCTGATTCATCATACTGCTAAATTAAATTGCCATTCTTAATCAATATCCTAAATCTCCACTGAAGAGAGTTTTTTTTTTTAAACATTGTGAATTATACATCATTTCCTGTATGTAAGTCTGCCCAAAGTTAGAGTTGAAAGCTATCACAATAAAATAATAGAATGGAGAATTTGTTTTTCCTCCCTTTCTATTTTTTTTTTTTTTTTACCAAGAACATAATCCAATTGACAAGAGTAAATTTGTTTGATATATATTATCATCCAAGGAACTTGAGATGAAATTTTTTTTCACTGCTAAGTCAATTCACTACTAGCCATGAGGCCCCAAACTGAGAGAGGTATAACAAATACTGTTGTCTAGATGTTTTCAAACTGTGCATTATGACCCTTTAACGACCACTAAATATAGTGAGATAAATTTCATTAAATGTCAGAGTATATTACATGTAGTAAGATTAAGTATTGTTTTCTGTAACTTATGTTTTAGTTATGTATGTATATATATTATTTGTTTATATATGCATTGAGTCACTGTATGGAATGTAATATTTACTGAAAGTTATTTCTTATTTTAAAAAGTTTAAAAACCAGAAATTTACCTTTTGTCAGTTAATGCCATGTTTCCTTAAAAAAGTATTTAAAAAAATTTGAGTCTATTTTTGATTTTCAAAATTGACTATGGCAAAAATGGTTGCTCAGAAATTGTTATTACCTTAGCTTCTTGGAGTTTCTGATACAAATTTGTTTGTTCAGATGATTTAATTACATTAGTAGTTTCTAAAAGGTTTTCCGAGGCTCTGTCCAATGGGTAGTTCTGTTCAGCCTGATACTTAGCACAGTTTCTTCCTCATTATTCTTTGTGTTTAATGAATTATATAATTGAGGGAATATGCTGCAGATAAAAATCATTAGTCCCTTAATTCCAGTGCACTGCTGAGTTATATATATATATATATTTTACTGCTTAGGTATTTTGTTCAATTCTAGAAATAAATATTATTTACGTTGGTGGAAATGTTCTTCCAACTGAGCTTGGCATTGTTGGTGCAGTTTGGCTTTGTATTACTGGCAACTTGAAGCAAGAGGACCAGGTACAGCAGCTCTTTTTCTTGTTCACAGATTGTTCAGCCAAACCTTCAACTTAGTTCAAAAGCATTTTTGTTTAGGAGATATTAAAAATAGAAACTTTTCCAAAATGATACTGATATCATTTTATTTTCTATGATTTTATTGTCCTTAAAAGAAGGAAAAAAAATTACCTTTACCATCAACAGGGCATTCTTTTCATTTTTCATTACATAATACAAGACTTTCTTTTATACCCGTTTTATTTACGTGCATCATCTTCAGAGAGCTGTTTTTGCCAGGGAGCCCCAAATATGTCATGAAATGATGAATAATTTTAATGCCCAGAGGCTTTGTACCAGGAAAGATAAGTCCTTTGAGAGGATCAGAGAGTATGATAGATAACAAAATCACTTCAAACTTCACTGTTTCACGGCAGGAATCCAGAAGAAAGGTCACCCAGACTTCTGATTTTACTGCGCATTTTTAAATATAATTTTCACATTAATGTTAATTATAGCTTATATTAATATTAAAGATTGCTTTTTAAAATTAACAAGGCTATATTTCTTATTCCTTTTCTATTTCTTTTTTATTTCCTTTCCTGAATGGAAGCCAATCTTCTAGTAGGTTATAAACTGTAGTGTAATTTGCTAATGTAGTCTCTAACACAGTGTCATAATTTGTAGATACTCTTTTAGTAGTGTTTATAATTCATGCAATATTAAATATTTAGAAAGGTCGTATCTACAAAATGCAAACTTATAAAGTAGATTGATTAGGTGGTAATTGATTTATTAAAAATTTCATGAATGGTTAACCACATAGATTTGATTTCCTCATCTACAGTTAAGTGTGTTTATTAATCAACAGTTATCTTGATAGTAGTTCTAAAGAGCAGATAAATATAATTAAAGGGCTAAGAGCCATGATCAGTTGATAAGAAATAAATACAGTTGATCTTCATTATTTGTGGTTTCTGTAACTGCAAGTTTGCCTGCTCTTGGAAAATTTATTTGTAATCCCATCTGTACTTGAAGCCCTTTGGTGGTCACTCGTGGACCTTCACAGACATGCAGAGCAGCAAGATGTTTGAGTCACATTGTGTGCATGTGTGTACCCAGCTAAGGTCTAATAAGGCCCCACTTTGCCTTCTTGTTTAAGCTTTTATAAACACTAAGCAAATGCCCTTTTCACCATCTATGTAATGCCATGTTTTGGTGCTTTTCCTTGCTAATTTTCCTGTTTAAAATGGTCCCCAAATATAAAGCTGCAGTGCTGTCTAGAGTTCCTAAGCTCAAGAAGGTTGTGATGTGCCTTATGGAAAATATCTGTGTGTTAGATAAGCTTCATTCATGCATGAGTTGTAATGCCTTTTACTGTGGGTTCAATGTCAATGAATCAACAATGTGTATCAGTTAAGATCTCTTTAAACAGAAACACACATAAAACTAGGTTATATATTGATTAGTTGACAGAAATGTTGTGACTAGGGGCTTGCAGGAAACTAACCCTGTATTTCCCCCAGGAACAGTGGTTTAGTATATTGCTCATTCAATGTTCATGATGATTTTATAGAACATAACTACTGCAGATAATAAGAATCACCTGTATTAAGAAGTCCAAAATTTATTACAGTGAAATGTAATGGAAAAATGATATAAATTGAAAGAATCAAATTAACCTTCACTTATAGAGGAACACGTTTCTATATAGAGATGCAACCATCCATTAATGGCATTAATAGGATAATATCATTATTTTCAAATGTATTTTTTCTCTGCTTTTTTTCACTTCAAAGAGAGCATCATAGGACAGTCAATGATTAAAGGGAAATAATAAGAATTTTACATGTAATAATTTGCTGCTTTATTCATGTATAAAACAAGCCTATTTTTAAAAAACATTTTTACAAATCTCTATGAAAAATCTTAATTCTTCATTTGTATAGTGAATAAAAGTGAACCTAAGTAAAATGTTGAATTTGTGTCTGAATTCCCTGGTCTCTGGATTATATGAGCCTGATTCATCATACCGCGAAATTAAATTGCCCTTCTTAACCAATATCCTAAATCTCCACTGAAGAGAGTTTTTTTTAAAACATTGTGAATTATACATCATCATTACGAGAAATGTTGTTTAAAGTTAGATGCTGGTGGATTGTTCCAGTTGAAGAAAACAGCTGAGTCCCATCTAACTGAACCCTTCTATTTGCCTGCAAGGAATGGAGGTCCAGATCCGCTGTCTACTTTGCCAAGATTGGAGAGCAAGCTATTGGTAGTCAGGGCCTGAACCAACACTTCCTGATCCAGTCAAGTGCTTCTATTCTTCCTTGGGCTATCCATTCTCTGAAACCCTATTGTCCCACATGGTAAAATAACTGCCTAGTATGAAAGGATTTATTTCATGTAATATTTATTCATAACAAATGTATCAACTTTATTTAATGCAGAATTTAAAACAAATGTTTAATAACAATTTCCTTTAATGTAATTTAATAATAACAATAGTACACAACATTCATGCAGCTTTAGAGCTCTTGCTCTCAAACACAACATGTAATGTTCTGATACCTAGTTTTAAAGTGGTATATTCAGGTAGGCCAAGAGTAGATTTCATCCACTAAAGAATGAATTTGTTTTTCTTGATTTCTCCGTTAGATGATACATTTGGCATTTCCAATTTACTTCCATCTTTTCAACCTGTTACACCTCCATCTTCATATATTCCAGTATACCAGTTACTGAGGACATTGACATCATTCATTACTCCTCTCCTCTCACATCCCACTCTCTCAGCAGTTCCTGTCTGCTCTACTTTCAAAATGTATTCAGAATCTGATCTCATTGTACCTTTGGTGTCACCACCCTGGTTTGAAACTCTGTTATCTTTTACCTGACTTTTTTTTTTTTTTGAGATGATATCTCACTCTGTCACCCAGGCTGGGGTGCAGTGGTGCAATCTTGGCTCACTACAACCTCCACCTCCTGGGTTCAAGCGATTCTCCCACCTTAGCCTCTAGAGTGGCTGGGATTACATCACCTGACTTTTTACATGCATGTTTCTGTGTTTCTACCTTTGCTTCCTTACAGTGTATTTTCAACACGTCAGTCACGGATGTGTTCTTAAAACAAGCAGAGCATATCACCCTCTCCTCAGAACTCTACAGTGAATTCCCATCTAGCTCAGAGGAAGGGCCAAAGCCTTTAATAATGGCATACTCCAAGGCTCTGTATAACCCCTCATACTCACACCCCCGATACTCACACCTCTGATCTCATCTTCTACTGCCTTCTCCCCTGTTCACTCTTCTACAGACACACTGTTTCTCAAACTGGTCAAGTAAAGTCTTGCTATAGGATCTTTGTATTTGCTTTTGTCTATCTTCCATATGGTCTTCCCTGAGGCATCTCCATGGCTTACACTATTCATTTCCTTCTGGTCTCTCCTTAAAATTCACCTTATCAGTGATGCTTTTCCCAAATACCCTTTCTTTCCCTTCTTCTGGTACTCACTTCCCTCTTACCCTGCTTTATTGTTTTTCAGAACACTTATCAATTTCCTATGTATATATTTACATATTTGCTTAATATTGATCAGTCTTCTCATATTTGCACATAAACTTTGTGAGCTCAGGCACGTTATTTTGTTTCATGCTTTATTCTTAGTACCTATAATATTTTGCCCAGTGTAGGAACTCAATAAATATTCACTGGAAGAATAAGGAATTTATCACCAATGACTATTTATTGAGTGCCTGCTCCCTGTCTTCAACATTCCATGAATTAAAGAAGTATGTACATGTAACTAGAAGATAAGTCTGATCCTGCTGCTACCTCCTGTATCTGCTCCATTGATCACCAGACATCTGGCTGACTAGGCAGGTGGTCTCTTCCAACTGATTCCATGTGCTTGGTCAGAAAGAAGAGAAGACTTTGCTTCTATCAAGGACATACACAAAACTTCAGAACAATGCAAGGTTGGATAACTATTATTGTAGCTAAAAGGATGTTAAATTTTGTATAAAGTTGAAAGTCAGCTTTCTCTGCAATTCTTATGGTGCCTATTTGTTGATTATAGGTTACCATGTGTCTAAAGTTTGGACTTTCCATTTATTTTCTAATTACAAAATTATGGGCTTATCATTCACCAGAGATGATTTGGTTTAAGACACTGACTCAGCCTAAAACAACCCACTGATACACCAATCCATTTATTCCTTCAACGCAGTTTCTTATGTATGCCAGAATATACTAGCCACAGTAAATACAGAGACCAGAAATACACCACCAGATTTTGCAGACTACAGTTCCTTTTAGGGTACTACTGTGTTTACTGCTCACGTGTTGTCTCACTTGTATGAAAGTTCACATAAGAAGGCAAGTTAAGAACAGAAAGTTACTTAATATATATAAAGTCAGAGCAAAGGAATATGCCCACCGTTCCTGCCAAGTGAGCAAGAATGTTCATTGTAACTGATTAAGGCATGTAAGTACAACAGCAAATACTTATTTTCCATTTGTCTATTTTTTTGCCAATTAGCAAAAATATTATCTTATACCAAGCATGTTATAAGGTGATTGAAAAGATTCAAGTTTGCTTGCTTATTTTTTGTAGAAGTTATATTCAAGACATCTTTCCATGGTACATCTTGGCTGTGGATGGAAATTTGACATACTTTTTATTTTCTTTACCTGTTACATATCAAATCTTAGGATGTATTACTTCCAAGGCGGTTAAACTTATTCAAGATTGACTGAGTCTCCTATTTTCCTTAAATTTACTAGAAGTGAGGCTCCAAGAACTACAGAAAATAGAAGGAAAGTCTCCATTGAGCCATGAACTGTGAGCACCTGGCATTTAAGCATGAAGAGTAGGGCTTCTATGGTAGGGACTGGAGTAGGCAGCATTCCAGGAAAGGATCTCAGAGGTCAGAAACAATAGATTATCAGTTAAATACTTCTGGACCAAAGAAGACCTTGAAATCCTGGCTCGGTGATGTATACATATTTAATACACAATGAGAAGCTCCTTGAGGGTGAGTGAGAGTGATAGGGCTGAAGAACAGGAGACAGAAGACAATTCAAATGTCCTTACACAGAAGACTGATTATATAGATAATGGTACATTCATATAACATGATATATTTACTAATTAAAACATAACACACACACACACACACACACACAGTCACTGCATAACAATGTTTAGTTAACAACAGACTGCCTGCATTGATGATGGTCAGATAATACCATATTTTTACTGTTATCTTTTCTATGCTCAGATAAGCAGATGCTAACCATTATGTTAACAGTTGTTGCTTATTCAGTACAGTAACATACTGTGCAGGTTTGTGGCCTAGGAGAAATACACTACCATATAGGCTAGGTGTGTAGTAGGCTATACCATCTAGGTCTGTATAAGTACACTTTGATGTTTGCACAACAGTACCACCTAACAACACTTCTCAGCATGTATCTCTGTAGTTAAGTGACACATGCTATAAGTGTTTGTGTCTGTGTGGGTGTGTGTGTGTGTGTGTGTATATACACATCATGATAGATCATTGATCATCATTAATCTGTAGTCATTATTACTTATTTACAAAATACTTTATATTTTATTTTTTATAAAATACTTATCACAGAATACTTTACTAATGAGAGAACTAGCAAGATGCCAAAGCCAGTTCAAAAAAGTGTAGGAGTAACAGAAATATGCATAGTCACTGAAAAAAAGAATGCTAGGATGTAATTGCCATAAAACTAAACTGGTTATTGCTTTACAGGCAACAAGGGTATAACCTTTGAGAATCATTTTCAGCATCATCAGTTTTCTTAATCCAGAAGTTGGCAAACTTTTTTTGTAAAGGAGTAAATTTTTTAGGCTTTGTGGGCCATGTAAGTTCTCTGTTACGTATCCTTATGCTCATGGACTATATAAAAACACTCTCCTATCCCAAGTTGGCCCACAGACCATGGTTTGCAGACTCCTGATTAAAGCCTAATCAATAGCAAATAAAACAAAATAAAGATACCTATTCTAGAGAATTAGATAATCCTCAGGTGAGTCAGTTAAACAGTGTTTCATCATGTCATTCAATGGACATGTGTTCTTTTGGCCATTTGCAGGTTTTGAATATGGAGATACATATTTATATATTTTTGAGGCAGGGTTTCATTGTCACCCAGGTTGGAGCGCAGTGGTGCAAACATGGCTCACTGTAGCCTTGAGCTCCTGAGCTCAAACAATCTTCCTTCTTCAGCCTCCCATGTAGCTGAAACCAAAGGCATGCAACACCACGTCCAGCTTTTAAAAAATGTTTTGTAGAGATGGGGCGTCACTTTGTGGCCCGGGCTGGTCTCGAACTCCTGGGCTCAAGCGATACTTCTGCCTTAGCCTCCCAAAGCATTGGGATCGCAGGCATAAGCCACTGTGCCCAGCTATATTATTTTTTTCCTAACAAAGATGCCTGCTGGAGGGAGCTGGAGGGGAAACAGTGAGGGAGAATGTGAAGGAATTTGAAGAGGTAGGGCCTTGTGGGTGGGATAGCCACACTAACCTCTTTTCTAGGGGCTGTCCTGGTTTACTGGTATAAAAATTAATCACTCTCTTTTCACTCTCAGAGTGTCCCAGTTTGGATGATACATGATAAATGGGTCACGTTAAGAAGTTTGCTCCTCAACATAAAATTAATAGGAAGGGTTGACAAATTTTAAACTAGTCAAGTGTGATATAATCAGATTTGCATTTTGAAAGGATGACTGCCTTGTTGGTAATGGATTTGAGGCAAAGACACAGGGGATGTTAAATGGTTGTTTACCAGGAAATTTGTCTTTCAGGTTAAACAATTTGTTAAACTTTCTCAATAGCAAGTTAATTTTGAAAAAAAAGAAAAATCAGAAAAGTATGTTGTTTGATTTAATGAGTTTGTCAGTGGATAAAGACTGTTGATTTAGTAGCCCCATATAGATGAAGACATTTCGTAGTTCATTTAGTTAAAACCTATGACTTGTTAGATTTGTTTGCCACATAGTTATATTGTGTTCTTGTGCTTCCCTGGGCGTGGATAATGAGAAGACTGTAAAATGAAACATGCTTTATGGGATATGCCTTAGCTGCAAAGCCAATAATCCAGAATGCAGAATTACAAAATTAGTGAGAGGATTTTGTCTTAATGACTGTATGAGTGCTGAGATCACCATTCCTTGATTTGTTCACAGTTATATCCCCAGCAAATAGCATTCAAGAAAATTTGCTGAGTGACTGAAAGAATGAACCCTCCCAGAACCTTATTTCTTATAATACTGTGCTCTGTCTTCTTAAAAATCTTAGGTACAACTATTCATGAAGCTACTCATTTATCCCATTGGCTTAGAATCTCTGAATGAAGACTCTAGTCAAGAATATAGACGTAAATATATTTTCCAAGAATCTTGGAACATATTTTCTATTAATGTTTTTTTGTTCAGGGTTGAAGGACAGTTTGACAAAATAGTTTGCTTAAGAATAGAGGTGGCAAAACCAATTTTCATCAGAAAAAGAATTAATGTCATATGGGTGTTTTTATTGAGAACATTTAAAATGTATCTTCTTTATTCATTTTTTACAGTATTTCATCTGGCATATAAGAACTAGGAAGAAAACTTAATTAAAATGCATATTCAGACCAAGTATGAAGATATAGTATCTTTATATAATGAGTGAATAAAATCAGAGTAACTATTGATTGTTCTCTAAATAATTCAGATGCTATAAATACAGGACATATGCATAAACACTTAAAATCACAAGCCAAGACAACGTAGTGAGACCTCGTCTCTACAAAAACAAAAAATTATCCAGGTGTGGTGGTGTGTGCCTCTAGTAACTGGAAGGCTGAGATGGGAAGATGACTTGAGCCCAGGAGTTGGAGTCTGCAGTGAGCCTTGACCACACCACTGCACTCCAGCCTGGGTAACAGAGCAAGACTCTGTCTCCAAAAAATAAAAAATATGTAAAATCACAATCACACTTTAATAAGATTTAGAACCTTTGGAAATATAATAGTAATAAAATACCAAAAATTATATTTCTTAAATTTGGTTCTTAAAAATATAATTTACTTAAAAATATCGCTCATAGAAGTGTGTGGTGGCTTACGCCTGTAATCCCAGCACTTTGGGAGGCCAGGGCAGGCAGATCACAAGGTCAAGAGATCGAGACTATCCTGGCTAACATGGTGAAATCCTGTCTCTACTAAAAATACAAAAATTAGCTGGGCATGTAGGTGCACGCCTGTAGTCCCAGCTACTCAGGAGGCTGAGGCAGGAGAATTGCTTGAACCTGGGAGGCGGAGGTTGCAGTGAGTCAAGATCATGCCAGGGCACTCCAGCCTGGTGACAGAGTGAGACTCTGTCTCAAAAAAAAAAAAAAACTCTTGTAAAAAAATAAGAAAGTTTACCAAGTTTGAATCTTAAGCAATTTGAATAACTGTTTGGTTAATGCCTAGACTGTGAGAAAGTTGCCAACTTTTCACACTTTTCATTAGTTTTCTTTTTCCCTTTAATTGTACAATAATAAGTCTAGTATCATAATATTTGCAAACTGCCCCCTGTTCTCTAATAATCTCTGTTCATTTATTGTTGTGCTGACTGCAGTCTGACTCTCGAGTGAGCTGCTTTATCTGCAGCACCTGGAGGTGTTGGCTGTTTTCTTGGGCCTCTACACACCACAGAACCAAGGGATGGACAGATGTTTTCTCGCTCTTCACTGCTTTTATAAGACCATAGTTAACACCTCCTCCTTCAATATCCCCTACCTCCATCCTTACCCAACCCTATCTTTGAGAAACACATTTTTAGATTATAACATCCTACATTCTTAGTGCAGCAGTTTTCTATCATTCTCTTGGTGATTCCCATCATTTGTTGTATTATATAGTAACTGACTTACTACGTTCTCTCCTTTCCACTTCTGCCATCATTCTTCATGGCTTTACTTAGCCACATAGATTATGCATGCCAAACTCCGGCCTCTCAGCACCTATATTCTCTCTTTCAGCAATCTTACCCTCTACTCCAGCGGTCAACAGACTTTTTCTGTAAAGGGGTTTGTATTTTCAGTTTTCTGGACATGTCTTAGTTGCAATTATTAAACAATGAAATCCTAGCTTTATACCAACATGGATAATACGTAAACAAATTGATGTGGCTATGTTCCAAAAAAAAATCTGTATTTACAAAAATGAATACTCTGAAAAGCTGCTTAGGGACTTAAAACAGATGAGGCCATGAGCCATGTGAATATCGGGGAAATAATTCCAGGCAGAGGAAACATCAAGTGCAAAGGCTCTGAGACAGGAGCTTGCCTGGAGTTCTCCAGAAGCAGCAAGGATGCCAATGAAGTTGGAGTGCAATGGGCCAGGGATGAGTAGTAGGAGAGGTTAGGGGGATAATGAGGGTGGAGCGAGGGACCTTTTAGGCCATGAATGGAATTTGGGCTCTTACTCAGAGACAGTAAGTGGAGAGCCATTGGAGGATTCTGAACCTAAGGACAATAATCAGATTTAAGTTTTAACAGGATTGTTCTGGCTGCTGTGGTAAAGACAGTGAGAGGGCAGGGTAGAAACACAGAAATGAGATAGGAGGCTACTGGACTTGCCATAGATCAGGCTTGTAACAGTAGAGGAGATGAAAAGTGGTCAGATTTTCTATATATGTATGTATATTCCATCTCACCCTATTATATTTAGAAGGATTTGCTTTCAGATTAGATTTTGCTTTCACAGAAAGGGTCAAGAATTACCTTGGGGTTTTTATGAGCAACTGGAAAGATGGAAGACCATGGATGAAGCAGGTTTTAGGGGGACGATCACGAGTTCTTTGAGCTTGTTTGGTTTGAGATGTCTATGAGATAAGTGAAACAAGCAAATGCACCACACGTTTGAGATGTCTGACATTCATTATAACTTCCTTGATTTCATGATAAATAGATAATTATTCTTTACTTTAGAAACATCATTGACCTAGGCTGAACTAACTGTTCTCTCGAAGGCTTAGATAAAAATATATTAGGTGCCTGATAGATGCAGACTGGTGCCTGCAGCTATATTTACTAGTATTCTTCATTATTCCCATGGCATCTAATTCATGAGCAAGTTCATAAATAACTCCCATGTTTTTCCCAGATTGTGAGCCTAAGATTACAGAATGTATTTTTCATGTACTTCTTTTGCATGTATTATCCAGGAGAAATAAACTGATATTTTAAGTGCTTTCATCATAAAAATAGATATATAGAGGCAAATGTTATTGGATAATATAATATTATAGTACAATATGTCTACAAGCCAGTTATATTGCATTTCTTAACATGTATTAGGATTTTAAACTCACAGATTTCCTGCTTATAGGACATATCAACTTTGGAAAAATGCAATAAATGAATTTTCAAAAAAGGAATTGAAAGATGAGAGCATTTGGGCTAATGAGTCTCTAGGGAAAATACAGTTGCAAGTGTTAAGATAATATGGTAGTAAGTTACAAAGAGAAGATGATCTAATAAGATTTTCCATTTACTATTCTCCAGGGGCTAGT